>NC_000021.9:6789085-6934219 GCF_000001405.40 Homo sapiens
GATCTTACAGCAGAGCTGGAAGCTGTATCTTCAAAATATGTCTGTTTGACTCAAAACAAGGTATTCAACAGGAGTTATTATGTATGAAAAAATACAACAGGAATGTAAAAAACTTGAGGCTAAAAAGATGTTGGAAGAAGTAATATTAAATCTTAAAAAACGTATGGAAAGTACACATTGGTGAAGACACATTGGTGAAGTACAAAAATATAAATTGGATCTAGAAGAAAAGGCAATGCAGGCAATGGAAAAATTAGTACAAATCCCTTTACAGGTTAGTTTGTAAAATCAGGTAAGTTTATTTATAATGTGCTTTCATTTATTTCACTGCAAATTATATTTTGGAGATTATATATATATATATATCGTGTTTTCTCTGCCTCTCTTGTAGTAATTTGCCTTGTGGAGTTCTAGCAAAGAGGTGGCATCTGTTTTTACTTTTATATGTTTAAATTTCCATCATTATAACAAAATCGATTTTTCACAGTAATGATTCTCAGTGTGGAGTCATTTGATTATTAAGACCCATTGACATGAGATTACATCCTCTGCCTATAAAAATCCTGGAAGAAAACCTAGGAAATATTCATCTGGACATTGCACTTGGCAATGAATTTATGGGTAAGTCCTCAAAAGCAATTGCCAGAAAAATGAAAATTGACAAGTATGATTTAATTAAACTAAAGAGCTTCTTCTACACAGCATGAGAAACTCTCAAGGGATTGAACAGACAGCCTACAGAATGGAAGAAAATATTCACACACTATGCATACAGCAAAGGCCTATTATCCAGAAGCCATAAGAGACTTATGCAAATCAACGAGCAAAAAATAAATAACCCCATTAAAAAATGGGCAAAGAACATAAACAGACAGTTTTCAGAAGAACACATATGTGGCCAACAAACATATTAACACATGCATACCATCACTAATCATCAGAGAAATGCAAAACAAAACAGCAGTGAAATACCATCTCACACCAGTTAGAATGACTTCTGTTAAAAAGGAAAAATAATAAAAATATTTAAATATTTAATATTAAAATATCATTTAGATTGAGATAAATTAATTTGTCATCATTAATTCTCAAAACATGGATATTTAAGAATAAGCTTACTTCACATGTAATAACAACTACCTTAAAAACTAAAAGCTGGGGCCTGGTATGGTGTCTCAAGTCTGTAATCCCAGCACTTTGGGAAGCTGAGGTGGGCCGATCATGAGGCCAGGAGTTTGAGACAAGCCTGGCCAACATGGTGAAACCCCGTCTCTACTAAAAATACAAAAATTAGCTGGGCATGGTGGTGGGCAACTGTAATCCCAGCTACTCAGGAGGCTGAGGCAGGAGAATTCATTGGAACCCTGGGAGGCGGAGGTGGTTGCAGTGAGCTGAGATCACACCATTGCACTGCAGCCTGGGCAACAGGGCGAGACTCCATCTCAAAAAAAATAAATAAAATGAAATGAATAAAAACAAATAAATAAAAGCTGGAAGTTCTATGAAAACAATGCACATACCATTTTTATAAAATGTTCATGGTTTCTCTAGAGATTTCAATACCTATTCTAGCTTATTACAGTAACCTATAATTTGTACTATACCAACTATGGTATAAAAACCTTAAAATGTATATTTCTGTTTCCTCTCTCCTTTATACTATTTATGTCATGCATTATAGTCTCAAATATTATGAATTCCATAATATAAAGTTACTTTTTTTAAAAAAATTAGACAATCAATTATCTTTAGAGCAATGTAAAATAATTGGGTTATATATCTTTATATCTTCTCTGGCATTATTTATTTCTTTGTGTAGTTTCAACTTTCACCTGCTTCCATATTCCTTTTGCCTCAAGAAATGATTTTGACATTTATTTTAGTGCATACCTGTTAGCAAGGGACTCTTCCAGTGTTAATCTGAAAATGTCATTTAATTGTTATTTTTGCTGTATTACAGTTAATGGATATAAGATTGGGGGTTGACTTTTCTTCAGTTATTTAAGAATTTTGTATCATTGGTTTCTGACTTGTAGAGTTACTGACAAGCAGTTCATTATAATGTTTGTTTCTGTTTATCTCTCTACACAGTGTTCCTATTTTTTCTGTGACTGAATTCAAGATTTGTGGTAATCATTGGTTTTCAGCAGTTTGACTAGTGTGATTATTCTAGCGTTCTTTAAATTTTGTATTAATCTTTCTTGGATATTTTGAGGTTATTTGGTCTCCTTAGTCATCTTTTTCAAATTTTTCTTCTCTCACATTCTGTTTTTACTTTCCTTCTGTAATTCCAATTAATTATATTTTAGTTAATTTCATATTACCAGAAAATTCTTGGATTCACTGGAGTATTTTATTTGCTTGGTTTATTGGTTTATTTGGTTTTTCTCTTTCCTCCCTTTGTGCTACCATTCAAATGATTTGTATTGACCTAGTATAAAATTTACTGCTTCTTTCTTTAACTCTGATGACCAGTCTGCTAATCAGCTTGCTGATGTAATTCATCTTTGTTCTCATGCTTTCACTTATTTCTAGATTTTGCCTTTTACTGTTCCCATCTTTGCTGAAATACCTCATTTTTCCATACATGTTGTATTTTTTAACTAGATCCTTTAACATTTTGATCATTATTATTTTAAATTACTTGCATTTAGTTCCAACATCTGAATTATCTCTGAATTTGATTCTGTTGACTTTTTATCCTTTGAAAATATTATAACTCATAACTCAAATTTCTAACTTGCTTTTATGTGTCTCCCAATTTCTAAAAAATGCAAATCATCTGATGTAGAAAAACAGTAGATCATGAGATAATTATGTCAAGATTGTTTTATATTTCTGTTTCATTTTTATGTCATGCTATTAGTGTGGGCAGGAACAAAGGTTGCTTTTTGCTGCGGTGTCTGAAACATTCAGTGACCAATGTAACTCAGATTTCTCCAGCAGTAGGCTGCTATGTGATGTGCCTTGTGTGGGGCCTTAGACTCTGGAGAGCATATGCCAATGATCCTGTTCCACAGTTAGCTTTCGGTAGTCCTTACCACCTATGTTATAGAGAGGGTCTCTCTCCACTTTCTTGTTCCTCTCTAACTGTAGAACATCATTTTGTGTGTGTGTGTGTGTGACTAGGCAAAAAATTCAGGTTGGGGACAGAAGGATGATTCATGTTATTTTTGAGCCAGTTTCATCATTGGACACTCACAGAAGGGGTATTTTTAACACTTCTTGACTCTTATTCTAGTGGGAGTCAAACTGTCACTTACCTGTGTTGTTTTTTGCAGAAGAAATAATAACTTACCCTCCTCCCACCTCAGTAGTAGAAAACCTCTGATTTATATCATTGCAAGTTTTCAACCCCACAATAAGGACAAACTCTTTTATTTCTCCTTCCATAGGAACAATATACCTTTGTCTGTGGTCACTGGATGGAGACTTTCCAAACCTTTACCACAGTAGCACGACTCTGCATTAGTGCAAAATCCTGGGCCCCAAAACAATCCTTGTTCCTCTCCTGATGGAGGAGTATTTTTCTTGCATCCCTCTCCCAGAAGCAGTGATCCTTTGCCTGGTATCAGGTGGGGTAGGGTAGGGTATGAGAGGTTTCTTAACCTTCTCTGAAAGCTGATGTGTTTTGCTTCTTCTTATCTCCCAGAAACAGTAGACTTTTGCATGGGTTCATGGACCCAGATGCTTTTTTGCCACAGCAAATTAAGGGTTTTGATTCTTAGGAGAGAAGCAAATGTTCATGTAGTCAATTTTTTTCTTATTTATTTTTTGCTTTGTTTTCTTATTTCAGTAATGATGAGTTCAATATGATCATTATTTTCCACTTACACTGCTTGCAACTCTAATGTTTTGTTTTTGTTAGTCCCCCTTTGACAGTTCAGCACTAAATCAAATGCAGATAGTCATCAGTTGTGTGAATAAAGTGTTTTTAATTGAGAACAAAATTGTTGATATAGACACAAATTTGGATATTATCCTACTTAGCACAATATGTCGCTGGTTCAAAATGTAAAAACCTCTTTAGGCTGAACAAAGAATGGTTCTTGGAACTATTGTCCCTTTTTGACAAATAAAATAAAACCCAATGCTTTTTATCTCATGGATAGATTATTAAAATAACTACATACCTGATCTTCATTTTATGTTCTCTTTCTTCAAGATATTCCTTCAAAACTACTTTGACTGATTAGTCTCTTTTGAATTATGTTAGACTCTGTATTTTCTCCACAAGCTCATCAGGGTAAATCCTGCCTTTACATTTTTTATAAAAATTCTCTTTTTTTTTCAAATCTTAGTTGAGCTGAAAGATTTCCACCAAATGTCTCCTATGCCAGAAAGCCTTATTTTACTTATCTCCCCTGTCCTCCTTGCTCAAGCTCATTTAGGAATATTTTAATTAAAACATTCATGCAATACTGTTTTTTAAAAAATCTGAACATATAGTATTTTCAATCTGAATACAAAATAGTGCTCTAATTTGAAAACAAGTTTTAGAAACAAATGTTTCTAGAAGGAGAATCAACAGTGTCATAAATATCATAATCCAATTTTCCTGTTTGTACTAAAACATTAGCAAATATTTATTGAGAAATTGCCATCTGCCTGAAAGTATAATGCTTTTGATGCACATTATATCATAAAAACTAGGTACTATTATTAGTAGTATCTTAAGAGTAAAAATATTGAGTCTTAGAGAAGTTAAGCAATGTGCCCAAATAGCATAGGGAAAGTTGGAATTCTGAAATTCTGACTATGCTGTGCGTAGGTTAGGAGAATCAAGGCTTGTCAAATGTAACTGTTAAGTCATTGTGGGGATACAGAGGCCTCTGATTGCTAGGGTCAATACACTTAAGCAGATCATGTCACTACTTAGTTAAATCTATTTCATTAAAGCAAAATTCCGTAAAGATTATTGGCACCAAAACTATTAATTTTCCTTCCTTCCTTTCTCTCTTTCTTTCCTTCCTTCCTTCCTTCCTTCCTTCCTTCCTTCCTTCCTTCCTTCCTTCCTTGTCTTTCTGTCTTTCTTTGAGACAGGGTCTCATTCTGTTGCCCAAGCTGGAGTGCAGTGGCACAATCATGGCTCACTGCAGCCCCAGCTTCCCCAGACTCCGGTGATCCTCCCACCTCATCCTCCTGAGTAGCTGGGACTACAGGCAGGCAAGCCACTATGCCTGGCTAAATTTTCTTTTTCTTTTTCTTTTTTTTTTTTTTTTTGTAAAGATTGGGTTTCACCATGTTGCCGAGCCTGGTCTGCAACTACTCAGCTCAAGCAATCCACCTGCCTTTGCCTCCCAAAGTATTGGGACTCCAGGTGTAAGCCACATGCCTGGCCAAAAATATTATTTAACAAGTTCAATTTAACTATTAGATTTTGGACAATGAGGGATAGAATTTTCTACATCATAAATCATCTTGTGTTCTTTATTTAAAGTAATATGTAAGGATTTCAATTTGATTCAAATATATTTATTAGCAAATTAAATGTTTTTTTCAGGATTCCAAACTTTTGTTGAAGACATAAATGTTAAATGATGTCACTAATTTTAATTAGATTAGCAGAAATGTACTCTGGTGTTTAATAACAATGACAGAATGGGCAATTAATTTTATTTTCTTTCCCTTTCTCCCTTTCCCCTTTTTAAAATATTTTACTTTTCAGGCTCTTTGGAATCCTGTAGATAGAGTTTTGGAGAATTAGACAAAACACTCACAGAAACTGCCAACCCTTGGATGAAATATATTATTACTGTGCTTTGGGATTAAAATAACTACAGTTTATAGAACTTTTGTACTGATACACAGACACTAAAAAGGGAAAGGGTTTGGATGAGAAGCTCTGCTATGCAACCAGGAATCTCAGCCACTCATTTCTGTCGGAGCTGCAGGAGCTCCCTGTAAAGAGAGGTTATGGAGTCTGTAGCTTCAGGAAAGATACTTAAAACCCTTCAGAGTTTCTCCATTTTTCCCAGAGTTTCCCCAAAAAGGTTATGACATTTTATAAGAATGCTTCACTTGTGAAAAACTAATATCAAAGTCTTCTTGTAATTTATATTTAAGGATAAATCTTTATCCCATGTTTAATTTATTTAGCTTACCCTGTAGCTAATATTTCATGCTGAACACATTTTAAATGCTGTAAATATAGATAATATAATTTATGGATCATTAATGCCTCTCTAGTAGTTTAGAGAAAATGTCAAAAGAAATGGCCCCAGAATAAGCTTCTTGATTTGTAAAATTCTATGTCATTGACTCAAGTTTGTATGTCATCTCAAAATATAAATATAGACATCTCAGAAAATATATTTGAAATAGCAAATTCCTGTTAGAAAAGAATAGTACTTAACTAGATAAGAATAACAAGTCACCATTATTTGAATTGTCTCCTATTAATTTTTGTTGTGTTGTGTTACTCATGTTTTACTTATGGGGGATATACATAACTTCTGCTGTTTTCAGAATTATTGTATACAGTCAGTATGAGAATGCAATTTAAGTTTCCTTGATGCTTTCTCACACCTCTATTACTAGAAATAAGAATACAGTAATATTGGCAAAGAAAATTGACCAGTTCAATAAAATTTTTTAGTAAATCTGATTGAAAATAAACATTGCTTATGGCTTTCTTACATCAATATTGTTATGTCTTAGACTACCTTATGTGAAATTAAGGCTTTGAAATTCTAATTATGTGCAAATGTGTAAAATAGCATCACCTAACGCTATATAATATACTCTTTATTTCTATAATGTGATGGCAGGTTTATAATTCTGGAAAGATATACACAACATGAAATTTACCTTTTTAATCACTTTAAGTGCACAGTTTTGTGGCATTAAGTATATTTGCACTATTGTGCAACAGTCACCACCATAGACCTCCAAAACTTGTCTTCTTCTCCAACTAAAATGCTTTACTCATTGAACACCAACTTCCCATTCCTCTCCCTCTCCTTCCCCCTAGCAATCACCATTCTACTTTCTGTCTCTACAACTTTCACTAAGTAACTCATAGAAGTGGCATGATAGAATGTTTGAATTTTTCTGACTGGCTTATTTCACTTAGCATGTCTTCAAGTTTCATCTATTTTGTAGCATGTGTGAGAATATATTTTAAGGCTGAATATTATTATGTTGCCGTATATACCACATTTTGTTTAACCACTCATCCATCAATATTCACAAGGGCTGCTCCCTCCCTTTGATTATTGTGAATAATATTGCTAATGGACACGCTGCACAAACATCTGTTTGGTCCCTCTGCTCATTTATTTTGGATATGGATTTGCATTTTAATACAAAGGAGAAATTACACAGCTTTTTAAAAGTGTCCAGATAAAAAGGAGCACAACATCAGTAAAATATTAGAAAGTAGATTAGGGGGAAAAACAGGGAAGGAATTGAACCAAAAGTCAATAAGCTGCATAAGAGAGTTTCAAGAGGAGGAAAAAATTGACAATATTAACATAGAATTAAAGAGCGATAGGTAGATATTTAGAAAATTGTCTCATGTACTTATATGTCGCCTGTGAACTGATATTTACATTATTTTATTATTCCAGGTTTCCAAAAGTAAGTGCAATATGAGAGTTTCATGATGCTAAATAAACTGAAACATGCTATATATTTTGATATATTGTCCTTGAGAGGAGGCTGAGTGGTAATTAGTGCAATTTTAAATTATGATATGATAATGCAGTCAATCTGCCAAACTGACAAACAGTATATATACAATATGTATACATTTCTCGCAAAATTCAGTTTTATCATACAATTAAATTATGATTTAAAACTACCTGACAATTAATGGAGGAAAAAAATAAAACAACATTTGCATTAATATTACCATAATTTTGATATTATTGTAAATATCAAAATATGTACTTAGAGATAAACCAGCAAAAAAGAGAAACATTTGAAAACTACAAAACTACAAAATATTGCTAAAATAAATGAGACCTAAATAAATGGAATTTATGAGTCATAAATCTCTATATTGTTAAGATGTCTACTCTTCCCACATTGATCTATAACAATTCCAATCAAATCACAGCTGGATTTCTTATTTTAGAAATTGAGAAACTAAAATTCTGAAATGTACATCAATGGGTAGAGGACCTATAATGGCAAATTACTTTGAAAGGAAACAGTTACTTTGAAACCAGGTGCTGCTGGAGAATAAACAGCACCTGGATTCAAGACTTAGAACGTTACAGTAATACTTAAGACAATGTAGTACAAATATAGATATACACATGTATATCAGCTATCAGCTAATTTTTGATAAAGTTCTTAGACCATTCATGGACATAACATTTTCAACAAATGCTTCTGAAACAATTAGATATCCCAGTATATATTTGTGTGTATGTGTGAAGCTCAATACTTCACACCTGAGAGGTATGAGTGTGCATTACAAAAGAGAACTAGGAAGCTTTGAGAGTATTGGATATGCTCATTGTCCCCTTCATGGTGATTGTTTAATGGGCACATGTACATATCAAATTCATCTCATTTACACTTTAAATATTGGAAGTGTGTTTTATGTTCGTTAGACATGAATAAAGCTGCAAAATGTTACCAAATATTCACTTACTATGCTTTTATTCATTTTCCTCTCTCTATAAACCTTCAGATAGAAAATGCAGTTGAAAGATATTTCATAAAGGAAGAAAAGAAGTATGAATACAGGTGAGAGATATTACTGAGATTTTTTTTCAGTGCAATCCTGGTCTTTTCTGACTAGCAATATTTTTATGTGCAGAAGTAGTAGAAAAGATAAATATTTTGTACAGTAGAAAAACACATTATTTCTGTGCCATGGAAGAGAGAACTCACAAAGATGACAGCTTCTGGCTATGTTGGATACTAACCAGTACTGTAAGTACCCAACGATCTGACTTTAACACTGGCTGTAAAGCTCCTTTAATGTTCCTCGCAAGGATTTGAACCTATTTACTGGAACCCTCATCGCTTATTGAGTTGAAAAACATTGTTGATATGTGTTTATCTTATATTTGCAGTAGAGTCATAATTTTACTTTTTAGAAAATTATATATTAAAAAAAGACACATGAAATTGTATATTGTTTAATGTTTCAACTGTGATATCACTCCATATGCATATTTAAATTCCTATTTGATAAAGGATAGGAAATACAGAAAGAATTCTTGTGATAATAGCGAACACAGAACTGTTGAAAGGTGTTGAAGCTGAGCTGGAGAGAGTCACCAAGGCTGGCGCCAAAGCTGGCAAGGTCGGAGGGTTTCCTGCCTGGGCGGCACAGCTTGAGCTCGCCCTGCGTCACGAGTGGTGGAAACTGCAGACCCAGCTGGGCCCTGAGGTCTCTGCCTCAGCCTCCCGCCTGCTAGGAGCTGCGCTGAGGTCCCAGATAGGCGACACTGGCGGGGTGCCCCTGAGCGAAGGCAGCCCATGTGTGGGACAGCAGCAGGAGACCAGGGTCCAGGGACCCACCTCCCACCGCGGGAACCTCGAGCCTCCCCTGGCACCCCTAGCTTGGTCCGCCTGGCCTCCGGAGCCCGGTGTGTATCCTGGTCATGGGGACGCCCACCAGGTGCCCGGGAGTCCCCCTCGGCCACAGCCTGCGGCTCCGCCGGCCCTCAAGCCCGGTGTGGGGACTCCAGCCCTGCCGCCTCTGCTCCCGCCAGGCTGGGACCTGTCCTCCTCCTGGGCGCCCGGCAGTAGGGGCGATGCACACTGCCCGCTGCCCTGCACAGCCTTTCGCCGCACATCCCCTCTCGCCCCTCTGCCCCGGGCCAGGACCTTCCTGGCCGCACAGAACCCACCTTCCTTCCCGTTGCAGAGCTGCTCCGCTTCCCCAAACCACAGGGAAAAACGGCAGATCTCCAACCAAACAGAAATCTGTGTGTGACTCCTCTGGTTTGATACTGCCAGTCCCCACATTTTCTTCCGGGTGTTTTCTTGGCAGAATGTGCCCAATGTTTGATGTTTCACCAGCAATGAGGCTGAAAAGTGACAGCAATAGAGAAACACATCAGGCTTTCCGCGACAAAGATGACCTTCCCTTCTTCAAAACTCAGCAATCTCCACGGCACACAAAGGACTTAGGACAAGATGACCGAGCTGGAGTGCTCGCCCCAAAATGCAGGCCCAGAGTGGGTCACCTCCTTAGGGCAGGCCCAGGCTTGTCCTGGCTGCCCCGGCGCCTTTCTCCTCACTCCCACCCAATGCAGGGGACCCCACAAACTCGGCTGTTGGGGCTCCCTGCTCCTCCCTCCACAGAAGCCACCTCCTGCCCTCCAAGCTGGGGGTCTCCTGGGGCGTCCTGGGCTGAGAGGGAAAGAGGCCAGCTCCGCAAGCCGGGAAGGGAACACCGCCACATTGTTACACGCACACACCACCACACTGTCACATGTACAGACACACGGAGACATTACCACACGGACACACCGTCACATGGACACACTGGCACATTCACATGGACGGACACACAGACATACGGAGAAATCCACACGGACACACCACCACACTATCACAGGGACACACAGACACACGGAGACATCACATGGACACACCACCACACTATCACAGGGACACACAGACACACAAGAGACATCACTACACTGTCACATGGACACACCATCACAGGAACACACAAACACACTGCCACATGAACACTGCCACACAGAGACACACCGCCACACTGTCACATGGACACACCTCCACACTGTCAGACACCACCACACAGACACTGCCATGTGGACACAAGGACACACAGACATTGTCACATGGATACACAAACACACTGTCACACGGAGACATCACCATGCAGATACATGAACACACCACCACATGGACATAGCACCACACAGACACTCTGCCACACGGACACACCACCACACAGACACACCACCACGCTGCCACACAGAGACACCACCACATCATTGCCACATTTTCATGTGTCAGCTGGCGGTGTGGGCCCCACGACTCTGAGCTCTAATAGAGAAATTACTTAGGCATATAGTGAAGGCAAAATTTTTTTTTTCTGAGGCGTAGTCTCGCTCTGTCCCCCAGGCTGGAGTGCAGTGGCGCGATCTCGGCTCACTGCAAGCTCCGCCTCCCGGGTTCACACCACTCTCCCGCCTCAGCCTCCCGAGTAGCTGGGACTACAGGAGCCCGCCACCAAGCCCGGCCACCTTTTGGGTGTTTTTAGTACAGACGGGGTTTCACCTTGCTAGCCAGGATGGTCTGGATCTCCTGACCTCGTGATCTGCCCGCCTTGGCCTCCCAAAGTGCTGGGACTACAGGTGTGAGCCACCGCGCCTGGCCAAGAATTTCTTTCCATCTCCTGTGTTATTGCTTTGGCAGTGGAAATGCGCGTGGCCTCTAGAGTGGGTCCCAAGGTCATGAAGGCCTGTAAGGTGGAGGGCAAGGTCTCTCTTTCCAGGCTGGAATGGAGGAAGATGTGGTGGCCGAGGGGCTGCATGTCCTCCTCGCGGCAGGCCCCTGAGGACCTTTATCCTCCTGAGCTGCGAATGTCCCTCAGGGGTGTCTAAAGCGCTGGGTGGGGCCCTTATAGGCCTTACGAGCTCTGGCCAATTAGTGGTCCGTAAAACGCAGAGGTGAACACCATAGAACCACAGGTCCAGGAGAATTTTGCAAAAGCTCTGAGGATGCCCTTTTTTGTTCTCCCACTGCAAAATTGTTTTAAAAAGCAAAAAATCCAGCAATGTCCGGGGAAAGTCAATACTGAGTGTCAGCGCGGGATGCTGCTGCTGATACGGTCCCGGCGTCCTGGCCGAAAGTGGCCTCCTCGGGGACCGCATCTCCGCGCACCATGGCAGCAAACGCCAGCGGTTTGTGGGCGGATGGTGTCCCCGTGGCCATCCCCGCTCCTGAGTGCGGAAGGACAGACAGGAGCGGGGACTTCTGGGTGTTCCTGGTGTCAGCCAGCTTGACGCCGTTGTTCCTCCTGGAAATCCGGGATTTGGAGAAGCACCTGGTTCCTGATGGAGGCCGTGGGCCTCTTGGTCCCCGCTTACCAGGCAGCGGCGCCAGCCTAGTTCTCAGCCCCGTCCCCGATGGGCGCCGCCTTCCATCAGGCCAAAGACTTTCCTCCAAACTGCCCTTCTTGGGGCGGGGAAGCAGCATCCTGGGCCTCCCCTGGGGCCTGTGGTGCTGGCAGCAGCTCCACGTTGAGGTCGCCTGCAGCCCGCACTGCGGAGCACTGGAGGTTCCTGAGCCCGGTCTGGGGAGGCCAATCCGCAGGTGCCTGGTGCCCGGTGCCTGCCGCAGTCTCAAAAGCGCCTGGAGGTGACATCCAGGAGCACCACTGCACCACCCGCAGGGAGACCCACGGCGAGGCGCGCCCCCTAAAGCGGCCAAGGAAGAAGCAGAAGGATAGGAAGGCACCCAGAGCTTGGGGTGATCTCAGGCCGCGCGCCCCGACCAAGTTCCTGGTCTCCGGGAGGTTTTTTTTTAATTTCTTCCATATTATTATCTTTATTATTATTAACTTTTCAAGATGGATTAAAGACTTAAATGTTAGACCTAAAACCGTAAAAACCCTAGAAGAAAACCTAGGCAATACCATTCAGGACATAGGCATGGGCAAGGACTTCATGTCTAAATCACCAAAAGCAATGGCAACAAAAGCCAAAATTGACAAATGGGATCTAACTAAACTAAAGAGCTTCTGCACAGCAAAAGAAACTACCATCAGAGTGAACAGGCAACTTACAGAATGGGAGAAAAATTTTGCAATCTACCCATCTGACAAAGGGCTAATATCCAGAATCTACAAAGAACTTAAACAAATATACAAGAAAAAATCAAACAATCCCATCAAAAAGTGGGGGAAGGATATGAACAGACACTTCTCAGAAGAAGACATTTATGCAGCCAACAGACACATGAAAAAATGTTCATCATCACTGGCCATCAGAGAAATGCAAATCAAAACCACAATCCGGGAGATATTGCCAAAGACGATGTGGGCTTTCTGGGCAATGTCCGGCCTGAGCTGGAGATTCTGGGACGCGGTCAAGTGGTCCTTTGGAGATTCCACGGCTTCGGATCCCTACTGCAGGATGCTCCGCTGTGTCTGACAGCCTCTGGCATTTTGCTGAGGGGTAACCTCGGAATGTATAGACATAAGAACACTGGGATGGCCCAGTCGTGCCCCAGGCATTCCCGCACACAGTGGTCGCAAAGGCAGGCGCTGAGACAAAGTGCCCAGTCGGCTTGGTGAGAGTTCTTTACAGGTTAGTGAAAGACTTGGTCCCGTGCTTGTGTTTTCTCATGTTTTCAGTTAACCTGCGGACGCCCAGGGGCTCCTCCATCTCCACCCTGTTCTCCTCGGGCTGAAGCCCAAAGTCCCCCATTTTCTCCTCAAACGGCTCACAGAGCCACTTCTGCAGGCAGGAGGACAGCGGTGGGCTCAGTGGCTGACCTGGGAAGCCACATCTGAAGGAACTGCTGGGTGACTATGGCCATAAGTCAATCAAAGCAGACTCCCTGGCTTGCTGCGCTACATTGATTTTGTTTTCATTTTTTAAAAGACGCAGAAGGGAGGTCCTAGGAAATTTGCCCAATGCAGATGCTGACAAGAGTGGTGACATGAAAAAGATTACCCAGAAGGAAAACAAGAGCTATTTTCTAAACATCTGAAATCTGTATAGGCTTTTGGAAAAGTGAAACTAGATGCAAAGCACAATGATATAATTCTGGCAATTTCCACTGACACAGAACTCAGTCAATCTGAATTAATCTAAGGGTTATAAGGAAAATGGCACTCCAAGAAGTATCTATTAACATCACTCAGCTGCTGTGAAATAGGCTTACAGACAACACGGAGTGTCAATTATCCAATGTTTAAAGTCAGTGATACAGATTGGACTACAATCTCTATGGCTCATAAAGTCTTCTTTAAAGGATTGACAGATGATTTATCTCATATGTAGACAATGATTCTCAGCAGTTAGCTAGCACAACTTGCTAATATCAATTGCTTGAGAAAATCAGATAATTGCTTGAGAAAATTAGGACATTGCTTGAGGATGTTAGGTAATTAAATAAATTACTTTTTTAAAGAATAGTTTAATGTTTTGGCAAGTAGACTTTAAAATAGATTGGTAATATTTTAAAGGCCACTTTTAAAGAAGTAGCAATATAACATGTGGAATTATGAAAAATAATAATGTTGGAAACAATTCAATTTTCTATCACAGATAATTTCACAAATATAGAAATACCATCTCAATAATTAGAAGAAGTAGCAGCAATTTCTGTCATTTTTATGCAAGTTACTCCTAGTCCATTTATCTGGTCTTAAATAGTGTTTTTAAAATTTGTTTTCAAACAAGTCTAATCATAAATAATAGAATATATTTTACAATAGTTGAAGGTAACAAAAAATAAGTGCTATTTTAAAAATTGTATTAGATTGTTTAAAAATGTTGTGGGTACGTAGTATGTGTATGTATCTGTGGGGTCCCTGAGATGTTTTGATACAGGCATGTAATGTGAAATAAGCACATCTTGGGGAATGGGGTATCCCTCCCCTCAAGCATTTATCCTTCAAGTTATAAAAAATGCAATTACAGTCTTAGTTACTTCAAAATGTACCATTAAATTATTATTGGATATAGTCACCCTATTGTGCTATAAAATAGTAGGTCTTATTAACTCTCTATTTTTATACCCATTAACCATCCCCACCTTCCCACAAACCTCCCCCCCAACTACCTTTCCCAGCCTCTGATAACCATCCTTATACTCCATATGTCCATGAGTTTGTTTTGATTTTAGATTCCACAAATAAGTAAGAACATGTAACATTTGTCTTTCTGCGCCTGGCTTATTTCACTTAATATAATGATCCATAATGTTCCATCAGTGTTACTGACAATGACTGGATCTTGTTCTTTGTTACAGCTGAATAGTCCTCCATTGTGTATATGTACCACATTTTCTTTATCCATTCATCTGTTGATGGACACTAAGGTTTCTTCCACATCTTAGTTTTGTAAACAGTGCTGCAACAAATATGGGAGTGCAGATATGTATTTGACATACTGATTTCCTTCATTTTTGGTATAGACCCAGCAGTAGGATTGCTAGATCATATGGTAGCTCAACTTTTAGTTTATTGAGAAACATCCAAACTGTTCACCTTGGTGGTTTTATTAATTTACATTCCCAGGAGCAGTGTACAAGTGTTCCCTTTTCTCTGCATCCCTGCTAGCATTTGTTACTGCCTGTCTTTTGCATACAAGTCATATAAACTGTGGTGAGATGATATCTCATTGTAGTTTTGATTTGCATTTCTCTGATGATCGGTGATATTGAGCACCTTTTCTTATACCTGTTTGCCATTTGTAGGTCTTCTTTCGAGAAATATCTATTCAAATCTTTTGCCCCCTTTTTTTAAACCAGGTTATTAGATTGTTTCTTAAAGAGTTGTTTGAGCTTTTTATATATTCTGATTATTAATCCTTTGTTGGATGAGTAGTTTGCAAATATTTTCTCCCATTCTGTGGATTGTCTCTTAACTTTGTTGATTGTATCATTTTCTGTGCAGAAGCATTTTAACTTAATGTGATCCATTTGTCCATTTTTGCTTTGGTTGCCTGTGCTTGTCGGGTATTGCTCAAGATATTTTTGCCCAGACCAATGTCCTGGAGATTTTTTTATAGTTTGAGGTACTAGCTTTACATCTTTAATCAACTTTGATTTTACTTTTGTATTCGGTGATAGATACTAGTCTGTTTTCATTCTTCTGCATATGGATATCCAGTTTTTTCAACACCATTTCCCACCAGTGTATGTTCTTGGCACCTTTGTCAAAAATGAGTTCACTGTAGGTATATAGATTTGTTACTGGGTTCTCTATTGTGTTCCATTGATCTATGGGTCTCTTTTTATGCCAGTACCCTACTCTTTTGGTTACTATAATTCTGTAGTATAATATGAAGTCAGATAATATAATTCCTCCACTTTTATTTATTTATTTATTTTTGCTTAGGATAGTATTATTTCTTATACTGAAAGCATTCTATGTTATTTATTATTAGGCTAATTTTGTAGTTTACAATGCTATCCTCTTTTACAAAGCTGTGATCAACTCAAAGTCCAGATCAGGGTCAATTGTAGCTATTTGCAAAAGTAGCAATATTCTGGCTGGGTGTGGTGGCTCATGCCTATAATCCCAGCACTTTGTGAGGCCAAGACAGGCAGGTCACCTGAGGTCAGAGGTTCAAGACCAGCCTGGCCAACATGGTGAAACCCTGTCTCCAATAAAAATGCAAAAATTAGCCAGGAATGATGGCAGATGCCTGTAATCCCAGCTACTCAGGAGGCTGAGGCAGGAAAATCACTTGAACCCGTGAGGTGGAGGTTGCAGTGAGCCCAGAATGCACCATTGCACTCCAGCCTGGGTAACCAAGTGTGACTCTGTCTCAAAAAAGAAAAAAAGCACTATACTGTGTAATTATTGACAGCATAATTCACTATTATGTGGATCAGAGAGCAGAGGATTCTGAATGCATGAACATATCTTTAACATTTCAATACATTACTCATAATTACTAATGAACTAAAGAGAAACCAAGAAATTATGGTGGTAGTTATATTGACCTGGAGAAATGTAGACACAAAAGAATGGTAAGATGAGAAATGTGTTAACACAGGCTATAAGGGCATGCAAGAATAAAAATAGGGGAGAAAACAGGAGAGTTTTTCAAGAGCTTTCTGGTCATGTAAGTCAATTTGTATCAGTTAATTTTTAAAAGGTTTATTTACATGCAATAAACTGCACATACTTCAATTGTACATTTTGATAATTCTTGGCATTTGTAGCTCTACAAAACCAACAACATATTAAAATAGCAAACATACCCATTACCTTTACCACCAAAGTTTCCTTGTGCTTTTTCTACTCACTTTTTCCTGCCTATCCCCATTCCATCCACAGGCAACCACTGATCCACTTCCAGTCACTATCCATGAGTTTTTATTTCCAAATACATAAAATCATAGGGTACGTATACTTTCTGATCACTCAGCATCACTATTTTTGAGATTTATTCATGTTGCTACATCTATCAATTGTTCTGTTCTTACTAGGGAGTATTATTTCATTATATACAGATACCATAGTAAGTTTATAAATCACAAATTCACCTGTCCATGGATATTTGAACTGTTTTCAGGTTTTGGCTGTTGCAAGTAAAGCTGCTATGAAGATTCATGTAAAATCCTTTGAATGGTCATATGCTCTTAGGTTTTCATCTCTACCGGAAGTGGAATAGATAGCTATATGGCTATCATGTCTGTAATATGCAAACACAAAGCCTGACAAAACTGATTTCTAAAGTGGAAATTCCACTGAAGAACCTTGACTCCAACCTGGCTTTTGAGATTATCTCCTATGTCTGGTGCAATGATTGGTCCTGGGGTAGCCACATGACCCAAGGGGGACCATGTTTAAACTTCTGAGTTTTCACTGAGATTAACATGCATTTGTTGAAAGAGAAACCCCTTTTCCCCTACTCCCCCAGCTGCAAATGCTTTCAGGGATTACATCATGTTGGAACATTTGGTTACAGTGTTTCCTAAACTTTGAGGGTAAAAATTGTTCAAGTAGGTAAAAATGGAGCACATACAAAGAAAAAAGGAGTCCAGAAATATCAAATAAAGAAAGGGCCTCCATAAAATCATTTGAACTTATGATTAATTCATTAGTCATTAAAATAAGTTTAGTGTACAAAGAATCATCCCCCCAACCACCCTTTATTCCTTCACCAGGTTTAAGTTACATTTTTTAACTTGCAAACAAAAGATTTGTCATTAACTTAGACATCAAAATCCCTTGTCTCCAAGAGCAATCATTCAACTCTGTCCCTCTCATTATTACAATAATATGTTCACTTTATTCTGCATACACCTGCTCTTTGCCCTTGTCTCCCTATTCTATTCTGTTAAAGTTATATCCAGACATTTATTTCATTTTATATCAAAGAAACTGTATACATGTTTTTAATCTTAGAAAAATTTCTGAGTAATCTTTTGTCTCATATTCGATTCTAAGCCACCCAAGAAGCATTATTTTTTCATTTAGCATTTTAACTTTTCTAACCCAGGACTTTTATAGTAGATATTATGTCTTTTTCTAAATGTCCTGCTTCAATTTACATTTTAAATCTAATTTTTAAAAAGTGTATGTTTTGAATATTAGCATCATGCATCTCAGGCCTAAATATCCCTTGATAACAAATATTGTCTTTTTTTCTCTACGTTTTTCACATATTTCAATAGGGAGATATATTGCCTGCAACAATAAAAGTTTTTGTCAATATAACATAACACATAGGCAAAATATTGTTTCCAAGTGATTGATGATGTGGTGCCTTCAGTCTAGTCCCAACCCCTCAATGTAATCATCCCTAAATCTAATGAAATATGAAATAAATATTTCATTTTGTTTCTAAAATTCAGCAGAAAAATATATAGCCTGTCACATATAGCCTGTAACACCAACATATAAAAATGAAAGCAGTTCCTTCTCCACTCCCACTGCTTCACTTGACTAGCCTTAAAAAATAATAATAATAAAAAATAAAAGCAAAATTGTTCCTTTACTTATCTTTGAAATCTAATGGGTATACTATCAGAAAAGCTCTTATATATATGGAGGGCCTCTATAAAATATAGACTCTTAACTAGAAAAGTAGACTTATATGATAGTTAAATTTAAAACACAATTGTATATGGTACCTTCCCAAATGCACCAGTACTTATTTCAGAATGCATGATGTAATTGACTAAACCATTTAGGGCTAGACCTCTGAAATAAAAGGCATTCACACTTTGTGATTCCTGGGGAAAATATTATTCAAAATAGAAACATGCAGAACCTTTACCTGATCGTGATAAAAAAATGTTCCTACTTGTTAATATGCCACAGCTTTTACAAGGTCAGCAAAAAGAGATTATCCCATAATATAAGCTGATGGCCGAAATTATCTGCCTTACTTTAGTTACTATAATATCTATTAAGTGTAAATTTCTTTTGAAAGAAAACAGATACATTTTTCTCAGAAATGTCTTTAGATGAAGATCTAGCACATCTGTGTTTCTCACTTTTTAAAATGTTGATTTTATTGATAAATAAATATATATAGGGTACAATGTGGTACGATACATGTAAATATTGTGAAATGGACAAATTAGGCTAAAAAACATATCCTTCACCTCAGATATTTATTACATTATGGTGAAACATTTAAAATGTACTATTTTAGCACTTTTAAGATATGCACTACATTATAAGTGACTGCAGTCACTTTGCTGTGCACCATATCACCAGAATGTCTTTCTCCTAACTGAAGCATTATCCCATTGAATATTTCCCCTTTTTCCACCCCTGCCCCCCACCCTGCTCAGCCTCTGATAAACCACCATTCTACTCTTAACTTCTATGAGTGCACAGTTTTGGATTTCACATATAAGTGATATTAAGAGATATTTGTCTTTCTGTGTCTGGCTTATTTTACTTAGCATAATGTCCTCTAAATCCATCCATGTTTTTGCAAATGACAGAATTTCATTCATTTATAAAGATAAGCTGTATTTTTGTATGCATCCTACATATACTTTTAACTTTCCACAGCTTTATTGAGATATAATTTATACATTGTGTAATTCACTCATTTAAAGTACAAACTTCAAATTCTTTTAGTATATTAACTGGATGGACAAATAATCATCATAATATAATTTTAGAACATTTTAATTCTCCTTAAAAGAGACTTGCACCCATTAGCAATCTTCCCCATTTTCTCCAGCCTTTTTTAAACCCCTCCTAGTCTAGGCAACCACTCGTCTACTTTCTGACTATGAATTTGCCTATTCTGGACATTTCACATAAATGGAATCATAATAACACATAGTCACTTTTTACTCACATCTTTCACTTAACGTATTTTTAATGTTCATCCATTTTGGAGCATGCATTAACAGTTTTTTACCTTTTCTTGCTAAATAAGATTCTGTTTTATGGACACACCACATTTTATTTATCCACTCCTCGGCTGATGAACATTTCTGTTGTTTTCTACTTTGTGTTGCTATAAACATTTGTGTACTACTGTTTGTGTAGCATTTGTTTTATTTTCTTTTTGGTAAACACACAGAAGTGGAATTGCTGGGTCATGTGATAACTCTATGTTTAACCATTTGAAGAACTGCCAGACTGTTTTACATTTTAAAGTCTCACCAGTGGTGTAGAAGGGTTCCAATTTTTCCACATATTTTTATCCATTCTTCAGTTGATAAGCACTTAGGTTGTTTCTAATTCATGGGTATTATGAATAATGCTGCAACGAACATGAAATTGCAGATGTCTCTTTTTGACATACGGATTGAAATTCCTTTGGACATATATCCAGAAGTGGGATTGATGGATCATAGGGTAAATATACTTACAATTTCTTGAGGAAACTTCATACTGTTTTCCAAGATGGCTGTACTAATTTCCATTCCTACCAACAGTGTACAGGGTTTCTTTTTCTCCACATCCTCATCAACACTTATCTTCCGTCTCTTTTTATAATAGCCTTAGTAAAATGTGTGAGGTGATATCTCATTGTGGCTTTGATTTGCATTTCTCTGATAATTAGAAATGTTTTTGATTTTTTCATGTACCTGTTGGCCTTTTGTATGCCTTAGGAAATGTCTATTCTGGTTCTTTGCTTATTTTTTTAATAAGCATAGTTTTATTCTTATTTTTGAGTAGGTTGAGTTACTTATATATTATTATATGAGCCCTTTATCTGATGTATGGTTTAAAAATGTTATCCCATTTGTGGGTTCTCTTCATTCTATTATCGCTTCTTTTCCTGTGGAAAAGCTTTTTAGTTTTATGCAATCTCATTCGTGTGTTTTTGCTTTTGTTGCCTGTGCTTTTGGAATAATCTACAGAAAATCATAGCTCAGGCCAATGTCATACAGTCTTCTTCTATATTTCCTTGTAGTAGTTTTACATTTAAGTCTTTAATTTTGATTTGATACTTGTATAAAGAGCAAAAGGAAAGTCAAATTTTATTCTTCTGTATGTGGATATTCAGTTTTTTCTATACCATTTATTGAAAATAATTTTCTTTCTTCATTGTGTATTTTTAGTCATTTTATCAAAAAATCAGTTGACCACAGACACACGGACTTATTTACGGGTTCTATATCCCTTTGCACTGTTCTACCTGTCTGTTTTTATGCCACTGCTATGTTGTTTTAATTACTATGGCTTTGTAATATAGTTTGGAATTGGGTAGTCTGATACCTCCAGCTTTGTTCTTTTTGTTCAAGATTGCTTTGGTTAGTCGGGGTCTTTTGTGGTTCCATACAAATTTTAGCAGTAATTTTTCTATTTCGGGGAATTTGATAGTGGTTGCATTTAATCTGTAGATTGCTTTGGGTAGCATTGACACTTTTACAATACTAATTTTTGAATCCATCAATAAAGGATGTTTCTCCATTTATTTATGCCATTTTAATTTTTTTCATCAATGTGCTATAGTTTTCAGTGTGCAAATCTTTCACATTCTTGATTAAATTTACTCCTAAGTCTTTTATATATTTTTATATCTGTTTTGATTCTATTATAAATTGAATTGCCTTATTACTTTATTTTTCAGGTAATAGTTTGTCATTAGTGTATAGAAACAATAATGCTAGCTGTATGTTGATTTTGTAACTATTAACTTTATTGAATTTCTTTATCAGCTTTAACCATTTATTTTGGTGGAGTCTTTAAGATTTTCTCTATCTTGAGTGCGCGAGGCGCGGGGAGCCTAGGACCTGGAGCGAGAGCCGCCTACCTGCAGCCGCCGCCCACGGCACGGCAGCCACCATGGCGTTCCTGCTGCGCTTCGTGCTCCTGTGCGGAGTCGCGGATTTCACCAGAAGTTTGAGTATCACTACTCCTGAGCAGATGATTGAAAAAGCCAAAGGGGAAACTACCTATCTGCCATGCAAATTATACTTAGTCCTGAAGACCAGGGACCACTGGACATTGAGTGGCTGATATCACCAGCTGATAATCAGAAGATGGATCAAGTGATGATTTTATATTCTGGAAACAAAATTTATGATGATTACTATCCAGAACTGAAAGGCCGAGTACATTTTAAGAGAAATGATCTCAAATCTGGTGATGCTTCAATAAATGTAACGAATTTACAGCTGTCAGATATTGGCACAGATCAGTGCAAAGTGAAAAAAGCTCCTGGTGTTGCAAATAAGAAGATTCAGCTGGTAGTTCTTGTTAAGCCTTCAGGTACAAGATGTTATGTTGATGGATCAGAAGAAATTGGAAGTGACTTTAAACTAAAATGTGAACCAAAAGAAGGTTCACTTCCATTACAGTATGAGTGGCAAAAATTGTCTGACTCACAGAAAATGCCCACTTCATGGTTAGCAGAAATGACTTCATCTGTTATATCTGTAAAAAAAATGCTTCTTCTGAGTACTCTGGGACATACAGCTGTACATCAGAAACGGAGTGGGCTCTGATCAGTGCCTGTTGCGTGTAAACGTTGTCCCTCCTTCAAATAAAGCTGGACTAATTGCAGGAGCCATTATAGGAACTTTGCTTGCTCTAGTGCTCATTGGTCTTATCATCTTTTGCTGTCGTAAAAAGCGCAGAGAAGAAAAATACGAAAAGTAAGTTCATCACGATATCAGGGAAGATGTGCCGCCTCCAAAGAGCCGTACGTCCGCTGCCAGAAGCTGCATAGGCAGTAATCATTCATCCCTGGGATCCATGTCTCCTTCCAACATGGAAGGATATTCCAAGACTCAGTATAAACAAGTACCGAGTGAAGACTTTGAACGCACTCCTCAGAGTCCGACTCTCCCACCTGCTAAGGTAGCTGCCCCTAATCTAAGTCGAATGGGCGTGATTCCTGTGATGATTCCCGCACAGAGCAAGGATGGGTCTATAGTATAGAGCCTCCATACGTCTCATCTGTGCTCTCCGTGTTCCTTTCCTTTTTTGATATATGAAAACCTATTCTGGTCTAAATTTTGTTACTAGCCTCAAAATGTATCCAAAAATAAGTTAATCAGGAGCTGTAAGGAATATATTTTTTTAAATTTTTCTTTGGTTATATCGAAATAGTTACAGGCATTAAAGTTAGTAAAGACAAGTTTACCATCGGAAAAAGCTGGATTTTCTTTAAGAGGTTGATTATAAAGGTTTCTAAATTTATCAGTACCTAAGTAAGATGTAGCACTTTGAATATGAAATCATAAGTGAAGACATTGGTGAACTTACTTGCATACCAAGTTGATACTTGAGTAACCATCTGAAAGTGGTACTTGATAATTTTTACCATTATTTTTAGGATGTGTATCTCATTTATTTATGGCCCACTAGTCTCCCCCAAATTAGTACAGAAACATCCATGACAAAATTACACATGTGTGTTTGTACTTGTTTTCACAGCTCCTTGGAAAACTCTGTGTTAGGAATATCTCTAAAAACATAGAAAACTCTACAGTGGTTTAGAAATTACTAATTTTACTTCTAAGTCATTCATAAACCTTGTCTATGAAATGATTTCTTAAATATTTAGTTGATAGACTGCTACAGGTAATAGGGACTTAGCAAGCTCTTTTATATGCTAAAGGAGCATCTATCAGATTAAGTTAGAACATTTGCTGTCAGCCACATATTGAGATGACACTAGGTGCAATAGCAGGGATAGATTTTGTTGGTGAGTGGTCTCATGCCTTGAGATCTGTGGTGGTCTTTAAAATGGTGGCCAGCCAGATCAAGGATGTAGTATCTCATAGTTCCGGACTAAATACTGGCTTTCCACTTTAGGTGATATTTTTCTTATTAGAAAAATATTATAACTCATTTATTGTTTGACAGTTATAGATTGAAATTTCCTAATTCTAAATTTTAAGTGGTTCTTCAGTTTCAGTGCTTTATGTTGTTTGTTGTTGGTTTGGCATGGCATTACATATTATATGTTCTAGAAACATGTAATCCTAAATTTACCCTCTTGAATATGATCCCTTGATGATATTTTTATCATAAATGCAGAATAATCAAATATATTTTAAGCAAGTAAGTGTCCTCCATCAATTCTGTATTCCAGACGTGGGAGGATGTACAGTTGCTGTTGTGTGATCAAGCATGTCTCTGTGTAGTTCCAGCAAATCAAGCTGAGCTTTGAAAAAGTTTGAGTCTTAGTTTTGTGAAAGTGGTTTATTCTCAAAAAAAAAAGAAAAAGAAAAAGAAAAAGAAAAAAAGATAAGAAGAAGGAGTAAAGGGACTACTTCTCCTTGCCAAATGTGCTAAATATCATTTTAGGAGAAGAAAGTGGATTTATTGTATTTCCCTTAAGATTGTGAGGGAGTGTGGATACAGTAGAATGAGCCAACAGTTTCTTTATAATAAATACGGTCTGCAATAAATTATTTCACTAGCTGTAAAACCTTTCCCTAGATTTTAGTAGGGAGTTGGTTTCTGTTAATATCTTTGGGTGCTGTGGTGGTAAATGCTACATTATAAACAGTGGCATGTATTTACAGTTAGAGTATTGTGTGTACACTTTTTAATGGTAAACTTAAGCTGAATGTGTAATGGATTTGTCTATAGTTTTACATATTTGGAAGCATTTTAAAATAGGTTTTAATCTTACATAAAATTACTTTTATACTTGTGTTAACATTTTCTTCTGTGCCTTTTGGGTAATTTAATTTCTGTTATGAATTTCTGGTGCCTATGAGCTAGCTATCACCTACCTGAAAGGTGCTTAGAGGTGAAGGTACTGTTTCTAAAAACACATCACTGTGACACCTTTCTATCCTCACATTTTCAAGCTTGCCTCTTTTCTGTTCTTTGTGGATATAACGTAAGTGATTGTGTTATTCATAAAGATTTAGAAATTTCAATATTCCCAACACTCTGACTATGTTTCTGATTTTATAATAGTAGCCATTTTTGAATGTCAGATGTTTGGCCTGTTTTATATGAATAAAGTTTATTTATAAAATATTATAAAAATAAGTAAACAGAACATTAATAATAAAAAAGATTTTCTGTATCTTAAGATTATATTTTCAGAAAACAGAAACAATCTTACCTCTTCCTTCCCTATATGGATTTCTTTTATTTCTTTGTCTTGTGTAATTGATCTGGCTAGGCAATTACACATAATGTTTTCAGCATTTGTAATTTTACATCAAATCCATCCATTGTAACACATTGATTGCTACTTTTCAACTTGTAAACCTGGACATTTGTCACTACTCTTCCTCCAGTACAGGAGTCCATGGCGCGGTGTGGGCCCTGCTGTGCCACAGTCCAGGGCACGGCTGGGCGCAGGTTCTCTCCTGCAAGAGTCCGCGGCTCTGCAGAGCAAGAGTTCTCCAGTGCCTTAGTCCAGGGTGAGGCAGGGGTGAGGCTCCTTCAGTAGCTCAGTCCAGGACGCAGCCCTGCGAGGGTCCTCCTGTGCAGGAGTACACGATGCTGCGGGGTCCTACTGTGCCTTAGTCCAGGACGCCAGGGGGCTGGGTCCTCTGCTGCCATAGTCCAGGGCGCGAGGGGCTGGGTCCTCTGGTGCCATAGTCCATGACGCAGGGAGGCTGGGTCCTCTGGTGCCATAGTCCAGGATGCGAGGGGCTGGGTCCTCTGCTGCCATAGTCCAGGGCCCGAGGGGGCTGGGTCCTCTGGTGCCTTAGTCCATGACGCAGGGAGGCTGGGTCCTCTGCTGCCATAGTCCAGGATGCGAGGGGCTGGGTCCTCTGCTGCCATAGTCCAGGGCGCGAGGGGCTGGGTCCTCTGGTGCCATAGTCCATGACGCAGGGAGGCTGGGTCCTCTGGTGCCATAGTCCAGGATGCGAGAGGCTGGGTCCTCTGGCGCCATAGTCCAAGACGCCAGGGGGCTGGGTCCTCTGGTGCCTTAGTCCCGGTCGCGGGGAGCTGGGTCCTCTGGTGCCATAGTCCAGGGTGCGGTGGAACAGGAGTCCTGCGGAGCAGTAGTCCAGGGCGCGCTGGGGCGTGGATCCTCAGGTGCCACAGTCCAGAGCGCGACAGGGCGGGATTCCTGCCTTGCTATATCCAAGGTGCAGCGGGGCGGGGGTTCTCTTGTTCAGGAGTCCAGGACGTGGCAGAGCCGGAGTCCTCCGTGTAGGAGTCCTCCGGTGCTGGAGTCCAGAGCACAGTGAGGCTGGGTCCTCCCGTGCCATAGTGTAGGGCATGGCGGGACAGGGATCCTGCCCTGCGATAGTCCAGTGCTTGAGTCCGCAGTAAGGCAATGGTCCTCCAATGCTGGAGTTCACGGCGTTGTGGGGTCGGGGTCCTTTGGTGACTTAGTCCAGGGCGTACCAGGGCGGGGGTCCACAGTTGCCATAGTGAGGATCTTGGAGGAAGGTGGTTCCTGCCTTGCTGTAGTCCGGGGAGCAGGGGGCAGGGGTCCTCTCTTGTCAGAGTCTCTGGCGCGGGGTGGGGGTGGAGGTGGGGGTTTTCCTATGCGATAGCCCACGGGTCGGTGAAGCCGGGTCCTCCCGTGCCTTTGTCCAGGGCGCAGGGGGGCGAGGGTCTTCGGTGGTGGAGTCCGCGGAGCGGCAGGACGGGGGTCCTCCAGTGCCATATTCCAGGGCGCGGCGGAGTGGGGGACCTGTCCTGCAGTGGTCCAGGGCATGTGGGAGTGGTGGTCCTGCTGTGCCTCAGTCCAGTGCGCGGTGGGACGGCGGTCCTGCTGTGCTGTAGTGCAGGACGCGGTGGCGCAGGGGTAGTCCAGAGAGCGCCGTGGCAGGGGGTCCTCCAGTGCTGGAATCCAGTGCAAGGCGGGTCAGGGGTCTTACCGTGCCGAAGTCGGTGGCAAGGGTCCTCCCGTGCCATAGTCTAGGGGGCGACGGGGCAGGTTTCTCTAGTGCAGGTGTCCAGGGTGTGGCAGGGCAGGAGTCCTCTTGTGCAGGAGTCCAGGACGTAGCCGAGGAGTCCTCCAATGTCAGAGTCCAGGGCTCTGCGGGGCCGGGTTCCCCCATGCCAGAGTGTAGGGCGCGTTCAGGTGAGGGTCTTGGCGTGCAGTAATCCAGGGTGCGGTGGGGCAGGGGTAGTCCAGACCTCCATGGCGGGCGTCCCTCTGTGCAGGAGCCCAGTGCCTGGCGGATCGGGGGTCCTTCTGTGCTGTAGTCCAGGGCACCGCAAGGTGTGGGTCCTCTGGTGCCCTAGTCCAGGGGGCGGCGAGTCAGAGGTTCTCCCGTGTCTCAGTCTAGGGCCTGGTAGGACTGGGGTCCTGGAGTCCACGTGGTAGCCCAAGTTGCCGCAGGACCAGGTAGTCTGGAACCACAGTCCAGGGCGCTGAGGGGCAGGAGTAGTTCAGGGCGAGCCGGGGCCCAGGTCCTCGGGAGCCAGAGTCCAGGGTGTGGAGGGGTGGGGGTTCTGCAGTGGCACAGTCCAGGACACCGCGGGGCGGGACAGGGCGGGGATCCTCCCGTGCCTTAGTCCAGGGCTGAGCCGCGGGAGAGGTCCTTCAGTAGCACAGTCTAGCGCACGGCGTTGCAGGTGTCCTCCAGTGCCTGAGGCCACGGCAGGTCGCGGGTCCCACTGTGCTCTAGTTCAGGGCGGAGTGGGTCTGAGGTCTTCTCCTGCCTCAGTCTAGGGCGCTGGAGAGCGGGGATCCTCTGGTACCGGAGTCAATGGATCCACGGGTCCGGGTCCTCCCATGTTTTAGCCCCGGGAGGGGAGAGGCGGGGGTCTTCCTTTGCCCTAGTCCAAGGCATTGTGAGGCCCCGCTCCTGCATTCTTAACTGTCTGTGCCTCTGCCGCCGCGGGGTAAAACTGCACCATCTCAGGCAAGCCTAACAGAGCAGCTGTCCTTAAAAGATTCCCAGTTGAGTGTGGTTCGGAGCAGGCCTGAGAAGTGTGCCCTTAGTTGGCTTCAAGGGCTCTGGGCAGTGTTTAAGGAATCCAGCTGACCTCAGTTACTCCAAGCCCTTTTCCACTTGTTTTCTTCAGGCCTCCTTTCTTTGTGCCAGCATCAATGGGTTTTTGGTTAAAGTTTTCAGCAGCTGCCTGCAGTTCCATTTTTCTTACCAGGTAAGAGACATAGCTTCATGAAAACAAAGGGAGAAGGCTTGTGACCAGAGAACTCCCAGTCCTCTCCCTGCATAGGAAAACTGGACTTCTCCGGAGGGCTCCAGCTCCTGGGCAAATCTCTAGGGCCACTTAATTGGGCTGTCCCCCACCTTTGTTTCTGGTTTTGGAGGGGCCAAGGTTGGGAATCCTTTCTAAGTCTCTACACATGGAGCCCTTCTTTGGTGGGATAGTCTTGACATATACCAGGATTCTCATTGACCTTTCAGAGCCTTCAAGAATCCTGAGCTGCTTTGGCTTCTGTTCCTGGAAGAGATGCAACTGAACTGCTCTGGAGCTGGAGTTCAGGTTCAAATATTCATCACTGTTACTAAGCCTTTACATAGCATGTGATTTCTTTCCGGCAGGCTCATGGTCACTTAGGTTTGCTTGTATGTAGATGGAGGGTCTGCATCCTCATTCAGGTAACACCCTCAGCCTTTCATGCTGAGATTAGCCATTTTATTTGTAACTCACTGTACAATCCATTTGCTCTTCCAGTGTCCCTTAGAAGGATGCAGAGTGTTCTGTAGAATGCCATAGAGACCTGGATTTAGGGAAAATATTTGACCAAAAGTCTGCCAACTCACATGAGTATCTCCCAACAACTTGTACAGTGCTAGTCTCTGGGTATATAGCAAATGAAACCGTGCCTGAGCAGATGTTACAAACACCCTCCCCTGAGAGACTCCAGGGCTGCTTTATTCAAGCAAAACGGTGTGCTCTAATAAGCTCAGTGTTGAGAGGAACAAGTTTTCATTCCAGCTTTCTCAAAAACTCCCTTTGTGACTTTAGACATAATAATAATAACACTACCTAGGTAGTGAACACCTCTGCCAAGAAATATCATGATCATTACCTGAGTTGTAATTCTCACAGTAGTCCTGCAGGACAGCTGCTGTTACTGCTTATTATGCAGATGGGCAACCTGAGGCTCAGATGGAGTTAAGTGGCTTAATTGGTAGCAACAGAGCCAGGATTTGAACCCAGGGCTGCCTGATCACCAAATAAAATTGTACTCAACATGATGCACTTAACTTTTCTGGCCTCATTTCTCTCACCTGTAAAAATGCAGGTTTCAGATGTTGGTAATATTTTACCTGTGGTTGAAAGAGTTACCAGCCCTTCCTTGATCACCCATGGTAAGACCCATGAGCCTCTGAATATAATTATAGAAAACATTTGGAGAGGGATAGAGAGAGACAAGATCATGCCTCCTTTGATAATGTCAAATTTTCAGTGCACGAAGCCATACATAGTGCAGTTTTCTAGCTTCCCTTTCACACATGGCATTGAAGAAAGTAAATTAAGCAACTCAGCTAACACTGGGAATGCAGCAGAAGTAATCGAGTTCAGTGCTGGGAGACAGTTGCCATGATATTCCAACATGGACACCAGGATCACAGTCAATGACTATGCCCTCCCTTGAAGATGGTGGCTTGCCTCTCTTTCTGTAAGCACATGTCATGTCATAACAATATTAAACAATTGAAAGTAATGTCCCCATCTTCTTCTACACTGCCTTTGAATTATTATTTTAGATCTGCCAAAATAAATTGCAAACTCATTAACAAGAAAGGGGGAGTGCATGCATCCCTGCCTTCCCGAGTAGTCTATTCACCCAAAGACAAAAGGGTGACCAGCCTCCATCTGGGATATTCAAAGACACAGTCACCTTGCCATGCAGCCTGAGGCCAATCCCCTTTTTAAGAAGCTTGTTAGATGAGCTCCTTAAACATACAACCACAAAGGAAAAGCACAGCTGGTGTGAGCGAGGCTGATAAAATGGGCATTTTGTCTGCTTCAAGGTTAGAATGCAACTTGTCTATCAAAATGTGGTTATCTGACCTCCACAATGCTGCAGTCCAGCTAAATCATGCAAATATTCATCCACCATTTACTATGGATAAAACAATAATGTGCTGTGGGGAATCCAATTACACACACACACACAAAAGTGCACACACACATGCATGCACACACACTGCTCCTGCTGTCTCAGAGGTTCCAGGCTGGCAAGGAAGAAGTGCAAACATTAGTAGGTAAGTCCACTAGCAGGAGGAATGTGATAAGTAGATCCAACAGGGTACAACACAGTATGATAGAAGCAAACAAGGTAGAAATGAGTTCTGACTCCCTTTCACTTATGAAACTGATTATGGAATAGTGTATGAAAGGCTTGCCTGAATGAATCTCATATTTTCCAAGTGTTTTCTATCCCAGCGATTGGAACTTTCATTCATTTATACCATTGTCCAAAAGGAAAATACAGGAGATTTTCCTAAGACCATCCTCTGTCTTATCGCTCATATCATATCCCCAAACATCACCAAGCCCTGCCCACTTTTACCTACTCAGTTTCTCTCCAGTTGTTCTGTTTTCTCCATATGCACTAGTGGTACCTTGGCTACATGAAGACCACCAGCAGCAGCTGGGACAACCAGCACCCTGTGGAACTGCACAGCATGCATAGAATACGTCCTCCCTTCAGTTGGCTTGGGTCAGCTTAGGTCATGGGCCACTTGGACTGATAGCAGTTTCCACAGAAATGCCTCAAGATGGTAGAATAATCCAGATCTCTTTGCATGGGGCATGGTGTGGCTATCTGAGAAAATCCTGGCTTTTATAGGAAGGAGAAAGAAGAATGCTTCTTGAGGGGAAGAAACCAACAGGAATGTGCCTCAGGGAAATGTCACCAGAGGAGAGTGAGCTGTAATAAGTATTTTGGCAGATTGCATGTTTCTTGTGTTCCTTGGCCCTGCACAGAGCTACCGTTTACTCATTTGACAAATATTTGAGTAGTAGACTCCAGGGTTCAATAGTGAGCAAACATGCACAGAATTTCTTCTCTAGTGGAGCTGAGAGTCTAACAGAAAGAGCTGACATTAGTCACAGAATTATGTAATAAGGGAAAGTTCAGCAGACCCAGGGGTGCTACAAGAGCCTGGGAAGGCGGACTGACCCCAAGAGGGAGGCAGGAAAGGTTGCCCCCAGGAAGTAGCACTTGAGCTACAATCAGGGAGAAAACTAGGCAAAGACACAGCATTCAGGAGAAGGTAGAAGTTGGCCCATGAGGATGGTGGTGTGGAGAGGTGAACCAATACCCAGGTCTTGGATTTATTGTTGAGCTGCTGAATTAACCAGTGCTGGCTCTCTCCCAACCTCTGCACTTCTTTTTTGCAAGGTTATATATTTTTTTATTTAAAAGCTAGTATGAGTTGGGATCTGTTGCTTTTCTGAGACCCCATCCTGTGAGGTAAACAGGGGGCCTCACTGTACTCTGGGGAAGCTAAAGATGGAGAACAGTTTTAGAGTGCCTGGAGAAGAGGCCCTTTAATAGATCATTTAAGAAGAGGGTGCTACCGCTAGACTGCCCAGATTCACTTTCTGGCTTTGTGACCTTGGGCTCTCTGTGTCTGTTTTCCAATCTGAAAAATGAAATAATGATAGTATCTGCCTCTGCCTGCAAGACCCTGACCCATCAGACCAACTACCTTTTCACTAGAACTCTCTTCCTGCACTGTACCCCAACTGGACCCTCATTAACACTTAAAATGGGCATGTTTCCCTTTTCTAGATTTTGCTCAAGACATTTCCCTCATCAGAATTAACTTTGGTCCATCTCCCTCTATTGAAATTCAACCCATTCTCCAGAAATCAGTTCAAATTTTATCACCAGAAAGCCTCTCTCAATTATACCAAGCCTCTTTTATACTTTGTGCCATTTCTGCCATGATTTCTTATGTTTTCCTTTTTCACTACATATTGGTATAGGTACATATGATCTCCACTTCCACTCAAATGTGAGGTTACTGAGGGCAATCCCTATGGGTATAGTCATATCCCAAGAGTCCTGGGCAGAGGGTGTCCCTCTTTCACCCAGGTTGGAGTGCAGTGGTGCGACCAGAGCTTACTGCAGCCTTGACCTCCTGGGTTCAAATGATCCTCTCACCTTAGCCTTTCCAGTAGCTGGTACTAAAAAGTGGGCACCACCATGCTTGGCTAATTTTCATATTTTTCATAGAGATGGGGTTCCACCACGTTGCCTTGCTTGGTCTCAAAGTTCTGAGCTCAAGCAATCCACCTGCCTCGGCCTCTCAACATCCTGGAATGACAGCATGAGCTACCACACCTGGCCAAATGCCGAATACTTTAGTCATATATGCCTGACACTTCCAGGGCATGCAGAACTGCCTCGCTTACTTTTCTTTTGACACAGTTAATAAATTTTCTTAATTTAAATTTTAATTTCAACATGTATACATCTTTGAAATAAATAAAATAATCTCTTTGAATGTTTGGCATAATGTAGAAGAAATTGACAAATGGATATCTTTACTTCATTTTCCATCTCAAAATGTGGTAGAAATATGCTCCCCTAAAGTGATCCCAATTATTACATAGCCATCTTGCTGTGGTTAATGTAGAATCTTTTTGCAATATCACATTCATGACAGGGCACATCCAAGAAACATTTAAGTGAAGATAATACTAGATTCTTGAAAGTATCTAGACACTTAAGAGCAGGTAGTGATGATGTTAATTAACAGTAACAATGTCGAGGGACTGGCTTTTGCCCTTCCCTAATAAACATAAACAGCATAGAAACTCAGCAAATTTGCTCTTATTTTCTTCATTATTTGGTTGTTGAATCAGTAAATGCTTTCCACAGGGGTCATCTTGTTAGTCATCTTGTCATTTTGCTGTGTCCCTTCTTCATCCTTGCACTTTTTCCTTTCTCTCATTTTGGCATGTATTGAGAGGAGTGTTATGTTGATGGAATGCCCTATCCTGACTTGCCATCTGATTAGAACTTCCCTCAATTTTTAAAATGCTTCTTGAAATGGTTTGGATTTGTGCACCCCCCATCCCCAATCTCATGTGGAATTGTAATTGCCAGTGTTGGAGGAGAGGCTTAGTGGAAGGTGTTTGCATCATGGAGGTGGTTTCTAATGGTTTAGCCTCATCACCCTAGTGCTGTCTGATGATAAAGTTCTCCCAAGATCTGCTTGTTTAAAAAGTGTGTAGCACCTCCCCTGACTCGTTTCAGCCATGTGAATATGTGCTTGCTTCCTTTTCACCTCTGCCATGATCGTAAGTTTCCTGAGGCCTCCCTATAAGCATAAGTCTGTACAGCCCACAGAACTGTGAGCCAATTCAATCTCTTTTCTTTTTCAATTACCCATTCTCAGGTATGTCTTTATATCAGTGTGAGACAGACTAATACACTCCTCCTCAGAAAGCATTCAATTTAGCTGTGTCTAAAGGTATGCCAGCTGTCCTGGGGCATTATCTTAGCCAATCATTCTTCCTCTTCAGCAAGATCTATTTGCCTATCACAGCTTGACCTGCAGTTCCTGCCATACTTGTCAGTAACAAGTAGCCTATAATATCTGGAGGGATTTCATTGAAATCACAGAGGTTCCTTGGCTCTTTACTTTATTAACAGGCATTAGGAAAGCACATCGACTTTCTTATTTAATAAAATGCCTGTTGCTTTGAAAAATTGCTCAAAAGAAGAAAAGAGAGGGTTACTTAAAGATATCACTATAGGCATGGCATGCTGGTCCACACCTGTAATCCAAGTACTTTGGGAGGCTGAGGAGAGAGGATCACTTGAGTCCAGAAGTTCAATACCAGCCTAGGTGACATGGCAAAACCCCATCTTTACAAAACAAAACAAAATAGAAAAAATATTCAGGCACAGTGGCATGTGCTTGTATTCTCAGTTACTCAGGAGACTGAAGTGGGAGAATCACTGAGCCCAGGGAGGTTGAGGCTGCAGTGAGCCATGATCGTGCTGCCCCTCTCCAATCTGGGTGACAGAGCAAGACCCTGTCTCAAAAAAAAAAAAAAAAAAAAAAAAAAAGGCTATCACTATACTATCTATAACTATTCTTAATTAGGATAACTAGGTATTTTCCAACAGTGGAAACTCCAAACAGACTAAATTGTTGTACATCAAGGTGAATTGTCATAGTTAATTCCTTTGCTTGCAACTGTCCAATAAATGGATGAGGACTCACTTCACCAATAAATAAGAAATGTGAACAGCACATGGGGCCTGTAGATGCCTTTTGCAGGGCCCTCTTTTTCTCTTCCTAAAGTTGCAATTTGCGTGTTTCTGTAGATGGGCACATCATAGAAACTGTCATCCTAGATCAGAGCCTGGAGAGAGAGATACAAGTGTCATGCTTACATATGCAGAGTGGGAACAAGCCCAGAGAAATCAAGATGATTAAGCAGAAAGTTTCCATACTGAAGATAAACCAGCTGTGTAAAAAATCATGCTTATTGAACAAAAAAGCATTGCACAGCTGAAATAACTGCTTTAACTAAGAAGTGAAGAACTGACACCTGAACAGAGCACAGATAGCCACACAGACAGGAGCTGCATTTCAAACAAGGTCATTGCTGTTGTCCCCACTCCAAATTAAGTGTCTCTGCTTCACCCTTCCTTACCAAAGTTCTGCTTGATCATCCTTTTGTTTTGTTTTGTTTTGTTTTTTGTACTTCACTTCTTTGAGAAAATATAAACCAAAATTTTACATGAAACAGGAATTCAGCTTTTGACAATGTTAGCCATTGAAACAACAACAAAAAAAGTTTCTATTATTTCTCATCTCTGTGCTATCCAGTGCAGTAGCCAATAGCCACAGGTGACTATTAAAATTAAAATTAATTCAAATAAAACAAAATTTAACATTAGCTGGTCAGTTGTACTAGCCACATCTCAATTACTCAATAGCCACATGTGGCTAGTGGCTACTGAACTAGGCAGCATGAATGTAGAACATTTTCATCATCATAGCTTTCTAGGTCATGGAAAAATTGCAGAACTCAATTTCCAGTGTGCACATTTATTTGCATGCCTAGGAGCTTTCTGACCCTGTGTTGAGCTGCCTAACCAGCTTCCTGATTGACCTCCTGATATTTCTGCAAATGTGGACTAAGAGGCCAGGAGTCCTCAGGGCCCAGGTGACTCAGGTTATTCAGTAATTATGTTTGGACTAGCAGGCCTCTACTTAATTTGGGATGCAAAAGGGGACTTCTCTTCCTAATTGCTAAAATAGCTTTTCAAGGTTCACCTCTCATCGTGGTAAGAGTCTCATTTCCTGAGACTCTTATTTCTTTCCATGACTTATGTTATATTCTGGAGAGAGTGGATTCACATGGAAAAGCTGGCTCTGTGCTGGCTTTCCAGGGGTCAGCCCTCTTGTGAGTGACAAGTCTGCCTATTTACATGATGTACATTGTGTCCCACTACTGGTAATAGAAGCTCAGCAGCTGATTGACTGTTAGGTTATTTTCAAAGCTCAATATTCACAATAATCTAACAGACACCCACACAACCACAAAGACAGACAAGGCTCTCATAACCTGCAAAAGACAAGGTGCACATTTCTTCTTTCCATCCCAGCAACAAATTGCCAACCCAGCCAGCACTTAAGTTGGGGTAAAAATTAATTAAAAGAAGAATCTACCAATGTAGATAAAAGAACAAAAAAGCTATTGCAGCTGTCTTCTCCATAACAGAGGCCTGTGATTTGAATTTTAATGTTTCAATCTACTTTCTGCTCTTGTGTTTATTTTATTATTTATTTTTTGTCACTATCTCTTATTTGTAGATACAAATTTTTCACATTTAAAAGCTATTTTAAATATAATCTTTAAAAGGAGAAACATTATTTTTTTTAATTGCACAAAATACTGAAGGTGAGTTCCACTGATTGGAATGCAAAATGGGACAATATCTCTGGAAGCAATTTTATCCAGATAAATCAATAGCTTTAAAACAATTCAAAACCTTGGACCTAATACCTCTACTTCTAGGAAGCTAGCCTATGAAGGTTTCTGCTGAAGGATGTTTATCACAGTATTATTTATAATGCAAAAAAGCCAAAGAGGAGACCTGAAATGTTTCAAAGATGAAAATGGTTTGATAAACAACATTTTTTTAGACGGGGTCTCACTCTGTTGCCCAGGCTGGGGTGCAGTGCCACGATCTTAGCTCACTGCAAAATCCATCTCCCAGGTTCAAGCAATTCTCCTGTCTCAGCCTCCCAAGTGGCTGGGAATACAGGCACACCCCACCAAGCCTCACTATTTTTTTGTATTTTAGTAGAGATGGGGTTTCCCTGTGTTGCCTAGGCTGGACTCAAACTCCTAAGCTTAGGCAATCCATCTGTCTTGAACTCCCAAAATGCTGGGATTAGAGGCGTGAGCCACTACACCTGGCAATAAACAACATATTTAAACACTAGAATATTATGCAAAAATTCCAGGCATGCTTTGGAAAAACTATTAATCCCACAAAAGATGCTTATGTTATTATACAGACTAAGAGACCAAGATTCTCCAGGACACTTACTGTGTTACATGTCTGAAGTACAATATAATGCTGTATATAAAATGTGACCTCAACTCAGGCCCCAGTCTTTTCATCTGGAAAATTCTATTAATTATACTGCCCTTCCCCTTTTTAGATTTTCTGTAGGAGTTAAATACAATACACTTTGTCAATTGCTTAACACCATGCTCAACACTGGTCAGAGAGATATAAATGTCAGCTATTGTACTATGTGCCAAAAAAAAAAAACAAAAAACCACACAGACAGACACACACACACACACACAAAGACACACATGGAGGGAGAGGAAGTAAAGATTAGAAAGCAGCACATAATGTTATGGTAGGCAATGGGACCACTAATGATTTTCATATTCTTTTTTATTTTCTTCTTTATACTGCTTACATTTTTCAGTGTATACAATGAGCATGTATTACTTCTGTAACCAGAAGAATGTGGTATAAACCTCACCTTAATATAATAAAACAAAATTACTGGCCAGGCACGGTGTCTCATGCCTGTAATCCTAGCACATTAGAAAGCTGAGACTAGTAAACCTCTTGAGCTCAAGAATTTGAAACCAACCTGAGCAATATAGTGAGACCTTGTGTCTGCAAAAAATGCAAAAATTAGCCAACCATAGTGGTATAGAACTGTAGTCCTAAGTTACTTGGGAGGCTGAGGTGGGAGGGTGGCTTGAGACCAGGAGGTGGCTGCAGTGAGCTGTGATTGCACCACTGCACTCCAGCCTGGGTGAAAAAGCCAGACCCAGTCTTATACAAAAATATAAACAAATATACAAAATATACAAAAATAAAAACAAACAAACAAAAAAGTTATTACTTAGATCCCACATGCTGTCTTGGAGCCATTGTAGCATTGCGGGATTCAAGAGACTGGAGAGACCAATGGATGAGACAGGAGGATTTTATTAAAGTGGCCACTGGCCTAGTGGATTCGCATCCAAAAGGCTGAGCTCCGAACAAAGATGGGGCCTGGTTTTTAAGCATGCAGCTGCGTGAAACTCACAGGGCGGGATGGCAAGCTTATAGAAGCAGAACAAAGGCAGTTAATCAAACAGTGACAGGTGTATGACTCAAACATGCCTGGTGACCTCTGCTGGGCTGCCCAGCAGGCTCTCAGTGGATGGTCACTATTTTAGGCTTGCTCAGGCATGTCTTGTGACCTTCTCAGTGTTGCACAGATGGAAAACAGGAACTTACAAAATCCTTACAAACTTACAGAAATAGTTACAAAAATAATTATGAGAGCAGAGCAAAGACATACTGGCCTAGGAAAGAATCTCAAAGGGGGAAGCTGATAAGAAGAACTTATTTTTCTCATCCCCGTTCCTGGAGTCCGTTCCTTCTGTGCTCTGCTTGACCTTGTACATAAAGTTAGCTTAGTCCTAGCAGGGCCTTGGAGTGAGTCAGCCTGGTACAGGCAGGAATTTAGGTTTTTCTCCTTTTAATTTCTGCTTTTGTAAGCCAGGGTTCTGATTGTCACTGCTGAGAAAGTAAAGTGTGTTCAGGCTGTCCATGGTTCTGGGCTCCCTTGGGTCTCTGAGGAGGATTGTCCCCTCCATCACAGAGAATATCAGGACACTAGCCTGTTCCTAGTTATACTTACACACTCTTCTCATGTTGTCTATGGAGTGGAGGCTGCAGGGAGGGTGACATCCTAGTTAGTCCCAAGTGCCAGACTGCCTGAAGCTCACTGTTAACAAGTCCTGCCTTGGAGAAGAAGGAAGGGTGTCTTTGTGAACCTCCCACCTGGGCCAAAGGGAGGCCACTCTCTCCTCTGCTTCTCCCCAACCTTGGTCTTCTGCACTCCTAGTGAACCTCTCACCCCCTGCCTACAGGCCTGGAATCTCAAGACCATGATGGCCTCTCATCACCCCTGAATCCAGAGCTTTCCCTTTACAAAGGGAAAACTGAGACCTGGAGCAGGGCTGATGTTCAGCCAGTGCACAAGGGAATAGATGAATTGGTGGTGAAATACTGAAATAGTTCCAGGGTGGATGGAAAGGGGCCGCTGCCCTGAACATCTCTACCCCCCACCTCAGCCCATCCTCCAGGACCCTGGGTCAGCACCAGGAGCATCAAAGTGGCCAGGATTGGCTGAAGCCCATGCTAATGGCTCTGCCAGCTCTTCTCCCCACTAGAGAGGGCAGGGGAATTCAGGCCATCTGGAGGTAGCGCTGTGACCGTGTATGCAGTAGTCAAACCTTGTGTGCCACCATCCCTGACTTTGTTGATAAGGGCATCAGGCTACATCCCTCTGGTACTCAGTGGTAAGCATCTAAAATCTTAAAGAAAAAATTTAAAAAGCTTTCAAAATATAGGACTTAATATATAAGCCTGCATAAACATCTCTTTAGCAGTTGTCCAACTGGTGCTTCTGGTTCTGCCTCCCCAGAGAGTGGATGACCTGGGCCACCCTCCACCACTGCCCCGTAAGGCCACTGGACACGCAGCCCATCAGTTCTCTTCACGTGGTCATCCCCCTTTAGATGGGAGAAAATACACCTGCCTCATTTTTGTACCTTCTGTGTGGACATTCCATGACAGAGCTTCACTAAATGTATGATGAAGAACTGAATGAATGAATGAATGAATGAATGAATATGAGAGCAAATGAATGAATGGCTCAGATCCTGGGCTGGAAGGCTGTGTATGAGGATGGTGGGTAGAGGAGGGTCTGTTTTTCTTGCCTTTAAGTCATTACTTGTCATTTTGGGGCAGGAGCACAGGCTTTGAATGCCGACTGACTGGACTTTAATCCTGGCTTTACTAGCTGTGATTGTGTGACCTCGTACATGTTACTTAAACCCTCTGTGCCTGTTTCTTTATCTGTAAAATGGAGACAATAAGATGACAAAGGACTGTGGTAAGAATTAAATGCTTTAAAAAAATCGCAGTTTGTATTAAGTCCTCAATAGATTGGGTTTAGCATCATGAGTGCATGTGTTTCTGCAGCAATGCTCATCTTGGGCTGGATGGTACCTACACAGAGAAAGACTCTGGCCTCTTCTCACCCACATGTATCTGTCTTATGCCTGGTTCCCATTCCCAGATCCTTGGAAGATCCATATTGCTGAAATGGTGAAGGGTGATGGGCACCTCAGGACAACTAAGCGGCTCCCCAAACATCTTCCCCCTCCCAAACTCTCCTGTGGTCTTTAGCATTTAACAGGAATCTCTCGACACTCTCAAGGGGTGATCTTCTCATGGAAGACCAGTGGGGAGGAGGCTGCAGGAAAGGTCAGGCACTGTGCACTTACTTCCCTGACAGCTGCAAGTGGTTCTGTTTCCAAGCCCATGGGTCACTATGAATAAGGCAAGTTATATGACATAATAATGTGATTCTTTGGTGCCTCAGTCCACACTGGCACTTTAATACTCCTAGAGTGGATTGCATGGTGGTCTATCAAAAGATATGTCTACCTGGAACTTGTGAATGTGCCTTTATTTGGAAAACAATCTGCAGATGTAATTAAATCCAGCACCTTGAGATGAGGGCATCTCATCTTGGATTAGGATGGGCCCTAAATCCAATGACAAGTATCCTTATAAGAAAAGCGGCAGGTAGGGCAGAGTGGCTCAAACATATAATCCCACCACTGAGGAAGGTCAAGTTGGGAGGATCGCTTGAACTCCAGGCGTTCAAGACCTGCCTGGGCAACATGGTAAGACCCTGTCTCTCCAAAATATATATAAAATATAACAGCCAGGCATGATGGCACCTGCCTGTAGTCCCAGCTACCAGCTAATCAGGAGGCTGAGGTGACAGCATACCTTGAATCTGGGAGATTGAGGCTTCAGTGAGCTGTGATCATGACACTGCCCTCCAGCCTGGGTGGCCCCTGGCCCCTCCACAACCTGCGCTAGAAGAGCTGGGCCCTGGCTCTGGGCACCATGCAGCCTCTAAGGTGGGGCTGAGCGCCAGTTCCTGCCCTCCTGCAGCTGGGGACCAATACCCTGACTTAGGCGCTGTGGAGGCTTCTGGCCCAAGGGTCCGCACTGCTGGTGGCACTGGCAGGGTCAGAGTTTGCCACAGCTGCTGCTGCGCGCCTTGTGCAGGTTACCACTGCAGCTGAACCTACAGCAGAAGCAGGCAGGGCTGGTCCCAGACAGCCTGGGGGTCTCTAAGTGCAGGGCCCTTTCACCCTAGAGTCAGCTCTTTCTTGCCGGCACCCATAGCGGGGTGTGCAGGCGCTGGGTACAGGGCAGCAGCCAGGAAATGGCTGAGCGGCCTGTTCCCGCCCTCCTGCAGCTGGGGCCTGACCACCTGAATTAGCCGCTGGGCGAGGTCTGGCCCTGGGATCCGCCTGGCTGGTGTAGGAGCACGGTCTGGGGTTGCCTCCAAGGCTGCTGCGCGCGCCATGTGCAGGCAAGGGTTTCCCAGACAGCCTCAGGGTCATGGAGTGGACCACTGTCCCAGCCTGGAGTCCGCTCTTCCTTTGCCTGCTCCCAGAGTTCCGGGTCGCGGGCACTGGGAACTGTGCCGCCAAGGGGACTGGGCCGAGGGCAAAGGTTTCTGCCCTGCTGCAGCTGCGGGGCTGACTGCCTGAATTAGGCGCTGAGGCGGCGTTGTCCCTGGTGTCCTGGCTCTTGGTGGTGCAGGCAAAGTGCCCGGTTGCTCTGCTGCTGCGGCGCCGTTGTACAGGTGGCAGCTGTAGCTGAGTTCTCAGTAGGGGCCGGCAGGGTTGGTCCTAGAAAGCGTGAGGATCGCCGAGTGCACTGCCCTCCCAGCCTAGGGTCCACTCTTCCTTGGCCCGAGCCCAGAGCTCGGGGTTTCAGGCGCTGGGCCCTGTGCAGCTGCCCAGAATAGGCTGAGCGGCAGGTTCCCGCCCTGGCAAGGGATCCAGCAGTGGAATCCTCACTGCTGTTGGCGGCGGGCAAGGTCAGCGGGGTTTCCATCGCTGCTGGTGGGAGCCACCTGGCGGTGGTAGCTGCAAGTGAGCGCGTGGCAGAGACTGGCAGGGCTGGTCCCAGACACCCTGAGGGTCTCTGGGTGCATCGCCCTACCACCCTAGGGTCTGCTCTTCCTTAGCCTGCTCCCAGGACGCGGTGTACGAGGGCTAGACTCTGAGCAGCCTCCAGGATGGGGCTGAGCAGCGGATTCCTGCCCTGCTGCAGCTACAGTCTGAATTAGGCGCCACCGCAGTATCTGGCCCTGGGGTACGTGCTACTGGGTGGCATGGACAGAGATGGGGGCTGCCACAGCTGCTATGGGGCTGAGCAGCCGATTCTCGCCCTGCTGCAGCGGGCGACCGCTGCAATCCCCAGCGCTATGGGACCGACCACCTGACTTAGATGCCTTGGAGGCATCCGGTCCTGGGGTCTTGCTGCTGGTGTCTGCGGGCAGGGTCACGGCTGCCACTACTACTGCTGTGCGCCATGGGCAGGTGCCAGCTGCAGCTGAGTCCGAGGCAGATGCTGTCAGGGCTGGTCTGAGGTTGCCTAAGGGTGGCTGAGTGCACCACCCTTCCACCCCAGGGTCCGTTATTCCTAGGCCGGCTCCCAGATTGCAGGGTTGTGGGCGTTGGACACTGTGCAGCCATGAGGATCTGGTTGGGTGCAGATTCCCGCCCTCCTGCAGCTGAGAAGCCAATCTCATAACAGGCGCTGCAGTGACCTCTGGCTCTGCGGTCCGCGCTGCTGCTGGAGCTGGCAGAGAACAGAGCTGCCACCGCTGCTGCTTCCAGGAGTGTGCAGCTGGCAGCTGCAGCTGAGCCCGTGGCGGAGGCTGGAAGGCCTTATTCCAGAAGCCTTGAGGGTCCCCGAATGCACCGCCCTCCCACCCTAAGGTCCAGTCTTCCTTGCCCGCGCCCAGAGAGTTGGATTGCAGGCGCTGAGCACAGTGCAGGTGCTGGGATGGGGCTAAGCTGAAAGTTTCCGCCCTCTGGCTGCTGCGGGGCCGACAGCCTGAGTTATGCGCCGCGGCGGCTTTTGGTCATGGGATCCGCACTGCCGGTGGCTTGCACAGGGTCGGGGGCTGCCACAGCTGCTATAGTTCACCGTGTGCACGTGGCAGCCGCCCCTGAGCCCACCGCTGAGGCTGCAGGGCTGGTCCGGTCCCAGACGGCCTGAGGGCCATTTGCCCGCGCCCAGATCCGGGTGGCTGCGCTGGGCACTGTGCAGCCTCCCGGAATCCGCTGAAGGGCACGTTCCCGCTCTCCTACAGCTGTGGGCCGACTGCCTGATTTTGGCCACTAGGTGGAGTCTGGCTCTAGGGTTTCGAGGCCGCTGGTGTTGGTGGGCGGAGTCCGGGTTTGCCACCGCTGCGCTCCATGAGCAGGTAGCAGCTGCAGCGGAGCTTTAGACCGAGGCTGGCAGGGCTGGCCCCAGACGGCCTGAGGGTCAGGGAGTGCAGGGTCCTCCCACCCTAGGTCCGCTCTTCCTTTGCCCTTACCCAGAGCGGGTTGTGCGGGCTCTGGGCTCTGTGCCGGCGCTGGGCTCTGTGCAGCCGCCGAGATGGGGCTGAGCAGCGGATTTCCTCCCTGCTGCAGCTGGAGGACGATTACCTGCACTAGCCGCTGAGGCGGCATCTGGCCCTGGGTTACTGCAGCTGGTGACGCGGGCAGGGTCAGGGTTGGTTGCAGGTGGCAGCTGCTGCTAAACCCATTGCGAGCCTCAGGGTCACCAAGTTCACCGTCCTTTCATCATAGTATCTGATCTTTGGCCCGCGCCCAGAGTGCGGACTGGCCTGCGCTGGGGACTGCATAGCTTCTGGGGGCCGGTCAGCGCCAGTTTCACGTCCTCCTGCAGCTGCGTGGCCTAAGGTCTTAGGCGCCGCGGCGCTATCTGGCCCTGCTGTCGACGCTGCTGGTGGTGGGGACAGGGTCAAGGGTTGCCACTGCTGCTCCCGTGCGCCATCGGCAGGTGGCAGTTGCAGATGAGCCCACAATTGAGGCTGTTGGGGCTGCTCCCAGGTTGTTAGAGGGTCGCCGAGTTCACCGACATGCCACCCTAGGTTACGCTCTTGGCCCGCACCCAGAGCGCCGGGTTACGGGTCCTGGGCCCTGTGCAGCCACGGGGATGGTGCTGAGTGCAGGTTCCCGTCTTCCTGAGATGCGGGGCGACCACTGGAATTAGCCTCTGTGGTGGTATCTGACCCTAGGGTCCGAGCTGCTGGTGGCGTGGGCGGGGTCGAAGTCGCCTCTGTTGCTGCGGCGTGCCATTTGCACCGTCCTCTGGTACAGGCTGGTCTGTGCTGTGCATGGTCAATGTAGTCTTCTCTGGGCATTCTTCACAGATATCTGCTGGCATGGCTCATCTTCTCTTTGATTTTGCATGTATTGTCACCCACTGATGAAGTTTCTGGTCACCTGCCATTTTCCTCTAGCCACCAAGACCTCACATTCTGAGGCCAGCATGTCCCACCAGGGGCCTCCACTGGCCCTGTCAAACCAGTTGTGAGTCCCCCTCCCACCAAGCTTGGAGAGACTGGCTTTTCAGACAGCACTCACAAGCTGAGAGTAAGGGAATTGATCTCTTAGGCACTTCCCCCTGTCCTGCCACTCTGTCATTCCTGGAACACCCTATGTGCACTAGAGAAGTAAGACATCAGCCTGCATATTTTCTCATCTTTCTTTAACTGTCTATTTTTTCCTATCTATCTGTATGAGTGAGTCCCAGGAAGATGTTGGGGCTGAATACCTGATCAGAGACACAGGCAGAGCCATAGTCACATCTCCTGGGAACTTTCTTCTTCCTGTGTAATTAAAAGCTCTTCTCTTCCTCTTGTTCATAGAAATTCCCCTTACACTAAACCTTTGACTGAAACCATCCCCTCAGCTTGATAAAATTTTAGACAGGATTATTTCTGATTCTTGGCTCCTGGCCTCTTTTATTAGCATATTTTAGAAATGTTATCATTGTAAATTCTCTCTCTGCCTCTTTGATATATAAATCTTTTTAAGAGCCCATCTGCCAGTTTTACACTTCAGAAATGTCCATTTCAAGGACCTCAGAGCCATTCCTTTGAAATGTAATCCTCAAGAAAGATAACACCATTATCTCCCAGACTCCATAAGAGAGTAAGAGCCAAATTATGGTGGGCATATTGCTCTGATTTGTAAAATTACCTTCTGTCATAAAGATAAGATAGTTTAATGTTCCTTTGGAAAAAGACAACTGTCAAAAACAAGTGGCCTATGATCACCCCCTCATCCCAGCTCTTAAAATCTCTACTGCTGTTTGTTTCAGTGGAGCTGAGTTCAGACTAAGTTCTGGCCTCTTTGTCCTTTTGCAATAGCCTTCAATAACAGCTTTTTTATGTGTTTAACTTTGTCTGGTGCAATTGTTTTCTTTGACACTTTCCACCCTAACTAGAACTTCCATTAAAGTCATAGTAGGATTCAAGGCAGCCAAACTCGACTCACATACGTAAAAAAACTTCTTAGGATGTAGAAACCCATATTCTCTTCAATAAATTGTTTCTTCAGACCATTGCCTTATTAAAAGTTTCTAGTTCTTATTTTGGCATTGAAAAGCAGAACACCAATTTTTAAATAAGTCTCTGCTCACTTTTAATTTCTGCTATAACAATTTTATTGCTTTCCATGGCTGAACAACGAGAAGACAAGAACACAATTTTAAATTAAATTTTATTTAATTTTTACTATTACAATTTTATTTCTTTCTCTGACTGAAAGAAGAAAACTCGAATAAAGTAGTCTAGTGTATAAAGTGAAGACTAGAACAAAGAATAATGTCTTATTAATACATTTCAGAAAGTTACCTCCATTTAACATCAATGGTGTCATTTAATATTCTTAACTTTCCTATCAAGTAGATGCTATTATTATCTCTATTTTATAGGATATTAAGTCTTATATATTATACATAACCAGCTGAAGGTCATGTAGCATGTAGATATGATAGGAATACAAAGAAACAATGACATTAGAAGCAGAGGAGGGAGAAGGATTACAAGGCTAAACCTAGGTCAGTTAAGAGAAAAAGAAAAACTAGGAGAAGACAAATTCTTGTTAGAAAAAAAAAATGATTGAGGCAGAGCAAGACAGTGGTGCAGACCTCTCCAGCTATCGTACCCCTATAGAAACATCAATATGAACAACTGTCCACATGTGAAATTACCATTACAAGAGCCAACAGAACCTCAATACATGAACAAGGTTATGAAGCACCTTTAGCCTGTGAAGATGGGTGAAACCATGGCTTATGCAGTGAGAGAACCAATACTCTGTGACTGTGATACTCTTCCCTCAGGCCGTTATGGTACCATCTGCAGAAACTCCCACAGGGCTTATAGTTTTTACACTGAAGAAAGTGAGCAGGAGTTTGATATTTGTTTTTTCCACTATATTGAGTTCTTTCACAGTAGCCTCACTCCTGTATCAGCCCACAAGTGGCACCATGAGTGCCAAAAGGGATGAACCACCTGAGGCATGTTAATGACATAAGAGGAGGTGGGGCCAGCAACAGCCACCATGTGAAACATAATACACAGACTCTACAGGCTTGACGGCCTGACTTGTTCTCCCCCATAGCCAGGGGCTCCCTGTGGATCACCCATGGGCCCAGCCAGCAAATGTTGCATCAGTGGAGCCATTGGAAGACTTACGTCTAACATGGGATTTGGGCTCTCTCTAACGTTAAACTGGAATACGATGATAAGTCCACTCAAAATTTCTTAATAGGCCCACTTAAAAGTAGTCACAAGCAAACCCAGACTGAGAAGACTCAAATAAACATCTAATTCATCAATGTGTAGACAGAGATGTATATCTACATATAATAATGATAGCTTAGGAAAAGTTCCCTCTCCAAATGGACAAAACAAGGTGTCAGCAACTGAACTTAAAGACATACAGATGAATGATCTGGCAGGCAAATAATTCAAAATGGCTGTCTTAAGAAGAGCCTGAACACTGAGAAGCAGAGACACAATTCAGAAATTTACCAGAGAAATTCAACAAAGAAATCAAAATAATGGGAAAAATCACATGTAAACCCTGGAGCAGGAAAGTTCAATGAACACATTGAAAATCCAACGGAAGGCATCAACAGAAGGAAGAACTGATCAAGCAGAAGAAAGAAACATTGAGCTCAAACAACAGGCTCTTTGAAAATACATGGTCAGAGTAAAATGAAAAAAAAGAATGAAAAGAAACAAAGAAAGTTTATGAGATTTGTGGGACACCAACAAAAGAGGAAATCTACATATCATTGGTGTTAAAGTGGAACTAAGAATGAAAAAGAGATAGTTTATTCAAAGAAATAACAGAAAACTTTTTAAACCTGGAGAAAGATTAAAATGTTTAGGATGGTCAAAGTGCCCAATCATATTTAATCTGAATAAGACAACCAAAGACATATTATAATTAAACTCTCAAAGGTCAAAGACAAAGAGAAGACCCTGAAAGGACTAAGAAAAAGGAAACAACACATAAGAGAATTCCATTATGCCTGGCAGCAGACTTCTCAGCAGAAGCACTACAGGCCAGGAGAGAGTAGGATAATAGATTCAAGTGCTGAATTAAAAAAACTGTCAACCATGAATAAAGTATCCAGCATAGCTATCATTTAGAAATAAAGGAGAGATTGAAACATTCTCAGACAAACAAAAAGCAAAGGAATTCATTGTAATCAAACAAGCCTTACAAGAAATGCTAAATATTGTTCTTCAAACTGAAAGGAAATGGCAGCAATATGTAGCACAAAAAATCTGAAGGTATAAACCCACAGATAGAAGTGAGGATTCAGACAAATTTGGAATGCTCTAATATGGTAATAATTGGATGTAAACCACTTATATATCCTTAGTAGGAAGGTTAAAATACAATACAAATAAAATAATAATTACAATAATTTGTTAAGGAATAGAAATATACAAAGATGTAAATTAAGACATCAAAAATGCAAAATGTGAGGGAGTGATGAAGTTAAAGAGTAGAGTGGTTTCTTTTCCCCTTTTTTTGAATCAAAATTAAGTTGCTATCTCTTTAAAATAACTTACTGTAACCATAAAATGTTCTTTGCATGCCTTGTGGTAACCACAAAGCAAAAACTTTTAATAGATACTTTAAAAATTAAAAAAAAAAGAAACCGAAACACACTGATAGAGTAAATCACTTAATCACAAAGGAAGATAGTGAAATCAATCAATCAATCAAAGTATAAATTTTTAAAAAACATGAAAACAAGTAATAATATGGCAGGACCAAGTCCTTGCCTATGAATAATTATCTTGTATGTAAATGGATTATCCCATTTAAGACATATAATGGCTACACTGATTAAAAACAAGACCTAACTATAAACTTTCTACAGGAAATTCACTTCATCTGTAAATACACACATAAATTGAAAGTGATCAGATGGAAAAATATATTTCATAAATATGGAAACCAAAAGAAAGCCGGTATAGATATATTTATATCAGATAACATATACTTCAAGCAAAATCCTATAAAAACAGACAAATATGGCCATTATATAATGATAAAGGGGTCAATATCACAAGATAATATAATTGTAAATATATATGCCCTCTATATTGAAGCCCCTAAATATATAAACCAAACATTAATAGATCTAACAGGAGAAACAGCAAGCAATAAAATAATAGTAAGAAATCTAAACATTCCACTTTCAGCAATAAACAGATTATCAAGACAGAAGATCAACAAAGAAACATCATATTTAAAATGAACTCTAGACCAAATAACTTAGTAGTCATTTACAGAACATGTTATCCAACAATTGCATAATTCACAGTCTTCTCTACTGCGCATGGAACATTTTCCATGATGGATCATATATTAGGCACAAAATGAGCCTTAGCAAATTCAAAAAAGATCAAAATTATATCACGTCTTTTCTGACAATATAGAATAAAACTAGAAATAAACAACAAGAACTTCAGAAATTGTGCAAATACATACAAATTAAACAATGTGTCCTTAAACAATGGGTTAAAAAATAAATTTTGTTTCATTTTAAAATTTCTTAAGACAAATGAAAATGAAATCAGAACATATAAAAACTTAAGAAATACAGCAAAAAAAGTCCTCAGAGGGAAGTTTGCAGAAATACATTTCTATATGAAAAAAAGAAAACTCTCATTAATAACTTAAGAATGTATTTCAAGGAATCATAGAAACATGAACAAACTAAGCCCCAAATTGGTAAAAAAGAATACAAATAATAAAGAATAGAGCACAAATAAACAAAATGGAGACAAAAATATGAAAGATCAATGAAATGAAAAGTTATTTTTTGAAAAGATAAACACAATCGATATGTATTTAGTCAGATTAAGAAAAAGAGAAGATTCACATAAATAAAATCAGATGAAAAAAGACATTGAAATGGTTACTACAGAAATACAAAGAATCATGAGAAAGTACTACAATTATATGCCAATAAATTAGAAAACATAGAAGAAATAAATAAGTTTCTGAACACATATAACCTATCAAAATTGAAGAATGAAGAAACACAAAATGCAAACAGACCAATAACAAATAATGAGATTGAAGCATTGTCTCTCAATACAAGAAAATCTGGAGGGCCTGTCACAGTATCTCACACATGTAAACTCACACTTTGGAGGCCATGGCAAGAGGATTACTTGAAGCCAGAAGTTCCAGATTAGCCTGGGGAACATAGTGAGACCCAGTCTTTACAAAAATAAAAATAAAAATTAGCCAGGTGTAGTGGTGTGCACTTGCAGTCCTAACAACGGGAGGCTGAGGCAGGAGGATCACTGAAGTCCAGGAATTTGAGGCTGCAGTGAGCTATGATTGCACCACTGCACTCCAGCCTGAGTGACAGAGGAAGACCCTGTCTCTAAACCAAAAATATTTAATAAGAAGAAGAAGAAGAAAGAAAGAACAAAAGAAAGAAAGAGAAAGAAAGAAAGAGAAAGAAAGAAAGAAAGAAAGAAAGAAAGAAAGAAAGAAAGAGAGAAAGAAAGAAAGAAAAAGAAAGAAAGAAAAGAAAAGAAAAGTAAAGTTCAGGATCCGATGCTTACACTGCTGAATTCTTCAAAACATTTAAAGAGGAACTTATAGTAATTATTTACAAATTATTACAAAAAAAGTGAAAAGGAGGAAACTCTTCCAAACTCATTCTATGAAGACACAATTACCATATTCCAAAATGAGACAAGAACAGTAAAAAACTAAACTACAGGCCAATATCACTGATGAACATGAATGCAACAATTCAAAACCAGCAATGCTAGCAATCATAATTTGGAAGTGCATTAAAAAGATGATTCACCATAATCAGGTTGTATTTGTTCCAGGGAGGCAAGGAGGGCTTATGATATGTCAATCAATAAATGTGATACACCACATTTGATAAGGGAAGATAAAAAAATAGTCATTTAAATAGATACAGAAAAAGTATTTGACAAAATTCAATGTTTTTTGTAAACATAAGATCTCTTAACAAATTAGTTATAAAAAGAACATAGCTCCATAAAATAAAGGCCATATATGATAACCCACAGCCAACATGATACTGAATAAGGAAAAATTGAAAACTGTGTCTCTAAGGTCTAGAACAAGACAAGGATGTTCACTTTAATAACTTCTCTTCAACATAGCACTGGAAGTCCTAGCCAGAGCAATTAGGCCAGCAAAAGAAAAGACATCCAAATTGAAAAACAAAAATAAAGTCAAATTGTCCCTGTTTGCAGATGACATGATCTTATGTATAAAAAACCCTAAATACTCTACTGAAAAAACAGAAATAGTAAATGAATACAGTAAAGTTTTAGAATACAAAATCAGCATAGAAAAATCAGTCGCATTTCTATACCCAACAGCATACCATCTGAAAAAGGAATCAAGAAACCAATCCCATTTAAAATAGCTATAAAAAAATGCCTGGGAATAAACTAAGCCAAATAAATATGTCTAAAATGAAAACTATAAAACATTGATAAAAATCAATTGAAAAAGATACAAATAAAGGGAAAGTTATCCCATTTTTATGAATTAGAAGTATTAATACTGTTAAAATGACCATCATACTCAAATCAGTCTATAGGTCCAATACAATCTCTAACAAATTTCCAATGTAATTCTTCAGAGATGTTAAAAAAGGTTTTAAAAATCGTTCTGCGGATGTTAAAAGGATTTTTAAAACGCTTTTTTCGTTCTGCAGGCGAAGGCTGTGGCCGTGCTCCCGCCGGCCAGTTCCCAGCAGCAGCGCATTGCCCCTGCTCCACGCCTTCGCTCCAGGCCCGCAGGGGCGCAGCCCCGCGGGAATCAGCACTGAGCCGGTCCCGCCGCCGCCCCAGTGTCCGGGCTGCGACTGCGGGGAGCCGATCGCCCAGCGATTGGAGGTGGGCGACGAGGCCTTCCGCCAGAGCGAGTACCAGAAAGCAGCCGGGCTCTTCCGCTCCACGCTGGCCCGGCTGGCGCAGCCCGACCGCGGTCAGTGCCTGAGGCTGGGGAACGCGCTGGCCCGCGCCGACCGCCTCCCGGTGGCCCTGGGCGCGTTCTGTGTCGCCCTGCGGCTCGAGGCGCTGCGGCCGGAGGAGCTGGGAGAGCTGGCAGAGCTGGCGGGCGGCCTGGTGTGCCCCGGCCTGCGCGAACGGCCACTGTTCACGGGGAAGCCGGGCGGCGAGCTTGAGGCGCCAGGCTAGGGAGGGCCGGCCCTGGAGCCCGGCGCGCCCCGCGACCTGCTCGGCTGCCCGCGGCTGCTGCACAAGCCGGTGACACTGCCCTGCGGGCTCACGGTCTGCAAGCGCTGCGTGGAGCCGGGGCCGAGCGGCCACAGGCGCTGCGCGTGAACGTGGTGCTGAGCCGCAAGCTGGAGAGGTGCTTCCCGGCCAAGTGCCCGCTGCTCAGGCTGGAGGGTCAGGCGCGGAGCCTGCAGCGCCAGCAGCAGCCCGAGGCCGCGCTGCTCAGGTGCGACCAGGCCCTGTAGCTGTGACTTGGCTGTGGGGCTGGCCCGCCTCCCTGACCCCTGTCAGGCGGAGCAGCTGGAGCTGACCCACGGGCCTGGGCTTTCGAGCGCTTTGTCCAGGCGCTAATGATGGGAAGGTGAAAGGTGGGGGTGGCCACACCCTGCAGTCAGGGTGGCAGGTGTCAGAGGCCACATGCAACCCACTGGTTTTGTCTTTTCCAGGATGCTGATAAGTTTCCCGCGGCCCCCGGAGCAGCTCTGTAAGGCCCTGTAATTGCCTTTCGTTCCCTTCTGCTCTATTGAGGAGTGGGAAGATGACAAAGTGTTTTTGCTCAACCCGAAGGAAAATGCACATGGGAGGACACACCGGGTTACTATTTGAGTAGCCCAGACAGGAGAGCAGCGGTCTGCTTCAGCCATGAGACCACCTCAGGCAAAAATAGACTTGTGGTTGTTTTACTTCTTTTCACCAAATGGGTCTTTTTGGGGTTTGTGGTGTGTCCCATGTAACGATGATCTCTTGGTTCCCCTTTCTCATTCACACCCGGGAGCTGAGGTGGGGGGTGGGGGGCAGGGAGTGGCCACCTGCGCCAGGTGTGAGAGAAGCCACACCTGAGACCAGCCCCTCTGTCCTCCTGCCTCTGCATCGAGCGTCCCTGCAGGAGGCAGAAGGGGTGAAAAGTAGCCTCGATATTAAAGTGCTTGTGTGTCCCTGAGGGGGTAAGCAAGTCACAGTCGGGACACTGGTTCCTGTCATCAGGTGTAGCACAAAGAAGGACCCCAGGACATGGGGTGCAGAAGGGAGCACAGAGAGGGTGGGTGCTACTGGGGTGCACAGGCAGCTTGAGGAGGATGCAGATGGCAAACTTCCCTTTGTCACGCCAGGTGCATGTTTAGGGCCGGAGGACCACCAGATCCCCAAAGCCTCCGGTGCTTCTGAGGCAGAGGAGAGGCAAGGCCAGTGGCTACCGGTGTCCAGGGACCTGGCAGCCACCACTGAGGCCTATCTGCTTGTCCCTCAGCCCACTGGCGGCCACACTCCAGGTCTCTGGGCTCTGCCTAGGACGTGTGTTTGGGCTTCTCTCCCGAGCAGAAATCATCTGCGTACCCTCTGCATCCCATGGATTTGCTTTGTTTCTGAGGGAATAATTAAGGAATGTTAGTATGACATCCGAAAATAGCTAATTATGGTGAAGAGCTAACAGGGCGATCTGGGAAGTTGTGGAGCTCTAGTTAGTGATGACAGAAGAGGAACATATTTGACTGTTTTGTGCTACACCCAGGTTCTCAGGAGGTGGCAAGGGAGGAGACTTGGCACTGTGCCATGCTCAGAGCCCCTGGTCCCAGGGACTCTGTTTCCCTGTGGGAGTTTGGATGAGAGACAGTTGGCTGGGAAGCTCAGGGTGGAGTGAGGAAGAACAAGTTGAGGTTCTTGGGTTGGAAAGATCTAGTACCCCAGGAGGGGCTGGATGTGGCCTGCGCCCACCCCAAACTCACACACTCTGTCATGCTCACACAGACACACACACTCACACACACTCATAGGCCCAAGCTCACACACCACACTTACATGGCTTATTCACACACTTACACACATTAACACACATACGCACTCATATTTACACATCCACACGCAGTTATATTCCACATACACACTCATACTCCCAAGTTCAAACACCATTATTTCTTCACAAACATTCACACAATAACTCACATACACACTCTCACACATGTACACACTCACCCACACACTCTCCATTACACACATTTACCTGTCTGTTCTCACACACATGCATAAACACAAAGCCAAATTAGAGCCATTTTCCTGGTCCCACACAAAGAAAACTGATACCTCAGTTTCTTGGTCTTGACCAGAACTGGGTGCATGATTCCATCCAACCACAAGGTGGGGTGGGAATGAAATCCTATCACGTCCTCAGGCCGTGGAGAAAAAAAAAAAAACTATGTCAGGCCTCTCTAATGCCTCCCACAAATGAGCAGGAGGGATTGAAACAGAAAAGGGGTTCCTCCTGACATGTGGCATTGATGGAGCCCGGTTCTGCCTCATGCCAAGCCCTGCCTTGCCCCTCGATGATGGAAAATGGTTGTGTGTCTTGTTTCCTGGCCCCCATCTCTGTCTCGGTACAGAGTAGAGATTTGAGTCTCAGTTTCAAAGACAGGAGTCCCACTAAGCTGACCCACCCACTGACAGATGAAATCTTGCCATCTGCTGACCAAGTTCCCCAAGGCCCCTTGAGACTCAATTTCTGAAGAGGGTCTGCTCAGAATTCCCCGTCCCCATGATCTGCCCGGCTGTCGGGACACTGGTGAGCCTGCTCAGTGGGGAGTCCCTTTTCAGCTCAGTCAGCAAGCGGCTCTTCTCTATAAAGAGGCAGGGGATGAACCTCCTCTCTAGTTTTAGCAGCAGAGGCCATGAGACCCATGGCAGAGGCCAGAGCTGTGCAGGCTGTAGGAGGTACCATGTCAGGGATTTCAAACGGAGGAAGGTACTTTCCAGAGAGTACTGCAGGGAACCAAGCCATATCCACCGTAGCTGCAATAAAGCCTCTGAGGCTCAGCTTAAACTCAATCTTAGAAATGAAGTCCCAGCACAAGCTTTGCAGGATAAGCAAAATCTAGAGAAGAGAAAATGCAGACCCAGTCAATGATAAATATAAGTCATCTGGACCAGCACAGAGCAGATACAGTGCCTTCTCCACATGCAGTGAATGAGGTTCTCACGTCTGTTAGTGTGTGGAATTGAACATCAGTATCAGAATCATTCTGTGTTACCTACAGCTGGTTTTATGTTGTTATGCCTGTCACCTGATGAATGTGTATCTTTAGCCAACCCTTTCACCCCAAAGCTCCTGCCCCAACCCCTCCTCCTGGAAGTGCCCATCGCTGGTCTCGGCAGGAGGCTGTTCTTCCCAGCCTGTGGGGTGGCCACCTTGCAGGCTGTAACCCTCTACAAGAAATAAAGTCTTCTCTCCTTTTCCAAATTTCGATATTCACTTAATCCTTAGCTTCTATTTTTCAAGATTTTAAACTGCTTTTAGGTCATGGCCTCTTCTCTGTAGGGTCTGGAGGCTGAGAGATGTTCAGCAGGAAAGAGCTGCTAACTAATTCCAGTAGCACTGCTCTTCTGCCTAACGGAGGTGTTTAAATGTTGATTTTGGCAAAATCTATGAGCAGGTTGCTCCCCATCTCCCAAGATCTCTCACAATACTTTGTAAAACCCAATTTAGCGCATCGTCTGTGAGAGCAGCTTTTACTGGTTCTGCAGCGATCTTCCTTACTCATAATCTATTGAAATATTGTAAAGCGATGCAGATTTGTGGCATGTGAGGAGAGCATGTAGACACACACTCCGCTGTGATTCAAAGTGCCCTAACACCTTCCTCTTCCCTACAGGCTGTGATAGGAGGGTGCTCTGGGTCACTGAAGAAGGGGAGTCATAAAGGAGCAGAGGCCCCACGTCGTGAGTGCCATCTCTCCTTGAGTGTGGCCTCTTGTTCTAGCCCACAGGCCCACCATGGTCTGACTAAATGCTGGCACTGCTCATACATCCACTTTTAAAAATTGAGTTGAACATGAGAACATGATCATTCATATTTTATCCATTTGCATGTATTCAATAACATCCTTTCCCTGTTCTCATCTCTGCTTTACTGCCTTTTTCTTTAAAGAATGAATGTTTCCATGTTTTATATCCACAGAATTTCTGGCTTTTCCCTTTGGAGTCCAAGGAGCAAGGGCAGAATGAGGAACAGGATGTTTCTTACAGACTCATGAGGCCGCAGCACAGAAACTGCAAGAAATGTCAGTCATAAAGTGTCCCAGTGCATTTTAAATTGATGATTATTAAAATCCTTCTTTATCTATAGGGGATCTAAAAAATTAAACAACTCATAATTTAAACACGGTTGCCAGGTAGCCTGAGTCAAAAATCAGGAGAGGCTCTGTGGTCTGAAGTCTCCTATTGCTCACCTTGATGAGGGTCTAGTTGCCTAATGGGTTGGTGTAATGATGTCATTCAACACAAGCAAAACACAACTCCCTTGGAGTTGTTCAAAAAATCAGGAAATAGAAAAAAAATAAGGGAGAATAAAATATTGACAGGAGAGAAAAATGAAGAGTTACTTGGAGATTTGAAGGAGGTGAAATGGGCAAAAAGTAAATTTAGCAACTAGAATTTAAAGTCAGTGGATAATTAAGTCGAATAATTTATTCTTATGTCCATGTACTTTGGTTTTAAAGTTTTGATTAATACTCATTCAACACTAATTTCTAACAAATTAGAATATTTCCACATTGTCTATTTTTACCAGTGAGCTTGTAATAAAGATCCGCTAGTAATTTTAGTACATCATAACCTTTCAAAAGAAGCCCATAGAATAAACTAATTTTTAAAGAGTCACATTTTATTCAATGTCTATTTATACATGTTACTAGCAATAAACTCTTTTATCTTTAATTTTGAGAAGCTTTACAAATACAGAAAAGTAGAATGACTAATACTCCCGGTAGCCAGGACTCAGATTGGAAAAATAGGTCTAATCGGTTGTTACACTGTGTTTATGTCATACATTTCACTTATTTTTATCAAATAAAAATTAGAATTTATAAAATGTTGATTAAAAGGAAAACAGTAAAGTTTAGTCCCATGTTTCTTCCTCCAAATCTCTTTGTTCTACATTAACAGGTCAGGAGAAGTATGGATGGGGAGGCTGGAAAAGGGGCATCCTTCCCCATGCGGTCCCCAGAGCCACCTTCTCCAAGCAGGACTTGGGGAACATCCTCCTCCATCCAGGACCTAAGGGGTGTCCTTTTCTGTGCTTCCTTGGATGGCAGCCTTTCCTGTGCAGTCATTCAGAAAGTCAGGCTGACACATGTTGTCGTCTTGAACTCTGGGTGAATCCCTTCATGTTTATAGTGATTTACCATTAAATCACTGTGCCGTTTTTTCCTAAAATATATGGGGCGTGTTTTTTGTTCTGAGTTATCTTAGTCCTTTGGTCGCTAGCTCCAGTTTTTTGTAATTTCTTTTGCAACCTAATATGTGTCCCATTTGGTAAGTATTACATATACTAGAAAGTGACGTATATTCAGCATTTGTTGTGATTTTAAAACCTTTTATAAACACGTAACATCTTTGTCTATTTCCCGTTTAAATTCAGAAGTATGGGTTCCAGCGTCCCTCTCTAGACCTGCTCTATCCTGTTAGTTTCTTTGTATGTCCTGCAGGCGAGGCCAGCATTGGACTTGACGTTGCTTCACCTACTCGGTTCTATTGTCCATCCATGTGCAGTGTCTATCCTGTTGTTTATTATTTCTTCCTTAAATTTTATTTGAACTAAATTAATTTTGTGATAGCAGCTTGCTTTCTGTGAATATTTACTTAAAATTTTTATAAAATTTTTATTTTTTTATTTCTTTAATTTGAAAGTGCTGCTTTGTTATTGATAATTTTGTATTTTAATATATGAGGTTAATCCCTCTATGTTTGGTAGGAAAAAGTGATATATTTGAACTTATTTCTATCATTTGATTTTGGATTTTGTATTTGCAAAGCTTTATCCTCAATTCTCTTTTCCTTTTTTCAGATTTCTTTTCTTTTCTCTTTTTTTGGGGGGACAGAGTTTTGCTCTTATTGCCCAGGCTGGAGTGCAATGGGGAGATCTCAGCTCACCACAACCTCCGCCTCTTGGGTTCAAGCAATTCTTCTGCCACAGCCTCCAAGTAACTGGGATTACAGGAATGGACCACCATACCCGGCTAATTTTGTATTTTTAGTACAGACAGAGTTTCTCCATGTTGGTCAGGATGGTCTCGAACTCCCGACCTCAGGTGATCCACCCACCTTGGCCTCCCAAAGTGCTGGGATTACAGGCATGAGCCACCACGCCCGGACTTCCAGATTTATTTTCCATCACCATTTCATTTTCCACTTCCTTCCTATGCTGGCTTGCAGGCTTTCCAGGCTATTTACCTTTATTTAGTGTCAAAAATTCTTTTGGGAACTTTTGAGTTGTCAACCAATAGTTGTAAGCATATTGGATATTGCTGTTTTTCTCCTGGTGCTCTGGTTATAATCTCTCCTATTAATACCTGTAGTCTTATTGTTGTAGTTATTTTTTCTATTGATTTCTGAGATATAATAATTAGAATTGTCAAATTGTGGATTTATGCATTTATTCTTTTAATTCAATAACTTTTGCTTCATGTATTTTGCTGTGTTTCTTAGGTGCATGCATGCTTATGCTTATTAGGTTTTCTAAGCAAATGGGCTTATTGGTATAAAACATCCTTCTTTATCCCTGGTGATGCTTGCCTTTCTTGCAGTGTGTCTTACCTGCCATTAATACACTGGCTGCAGTTTTTGATAAAAAAGATTGCATAGTGTATATTTGTCCATCTTTTCAGTTCGAATCTATTTATATCTTTATCTCATAAGTGTATTTCTTTTTAAAAGTGGATATTGAGGTTTCCTTTTTACCTACTTTGACAGTCTGTGTTCCGCCTTCCTGATCTTCTTCTGGATTATTGCAGTTTTGGTTTGTTTGTTTGTTTTATGGGGTTTTCTTTTTTTTTTTTAGTATGGATTTTGTACCCTGTTTTTTTTTTTAACTATGACTTTGTTTCATTTATTTATTTTTGGTGAGTTGTTCAGAAATTAAAATATAAATACTTAATGTATATTAAATATCATAACACTGTATATAAAATATAAAAACCTTACCTTACCATCCTCTCATCTTTTGTGCCATGTTGTCATAGATTTTTCTTCTGTACGTGTTGTAATTCCTGGAGGATGTCATCCAAACAGTAATTTCCCCTCCACATATTTACTATTTTTGGCACATTTTCATCTTTTCTGTGAACTAGAATTTCCAATTATTATTTTTCTTCATCCTGATCAAGTTTCTTTTGCATTTATCGTGGTTTGGGTTCGATGGCAACACAGTCTCACAGACTTTCTTTAACTGAAAATGTACTTTTCTCAACTTCAGTTCTGAAGGCTGCTTCAGCAGGTTCAGAATTCTAGGGACACTTTTGACTTTGAACAGCATCTCTGGGTACCATCTAACATATTATTATATCCAGTTGTGTCAAATCTGTCATCGGCCATAGAACCCTTTGACAGGTGCTTCTTGTTGCTTCAGTTCTAAGTATTTCATAGTCTTCAGAGACATGGAGAAGTAGCAGTGCTAGTAACAGTACTAGTGAAACCAGGTTAAGCCCTAAAATAATTAAGAAGCCATTGCATGCACACACGTGAACGTTTGACTTCAGCTAAAATGCTTTCAAATGTACTATTTTATCTTTATACAAGGCCATAACACAAATTACAATTTTAAAAATACTTTCACTTTACATATGTGAAAACTGCAGCTCAAAGAATTTAAAAGACAAGATTGAAATCCCATGAGTAGGTAAAGATGGTCAAGTCTGGAGCCCGCATGTCTTGGTGCCCCCCACACCCTGTTACAGAGAGTGCGAGGCTTCACCAGAAAGCTCTTTCGGCTCAAGGATTAGCTCTGGGGAAGTGCAGCAGGCAGGCCTGCTTTGCAACCTTTTTTCCAGCAGAAATCCAATGTTTGTTCACGTTTCTAGTTCTTTTAGTTTTGTTTTGTTTCTTACCAGTATGGCTCTGGGAGTTATTTACAAAATTTAATTTTAAAAGAGACACTCCCCATCATTAGGGTTCCTTGGAAACTTATAAAAAAGTAAATAAATACTGGTAGATGAGAAACTTCTGCAAAATTGTTAGTTATATGTGTAATACATCTAATTGTAACTAAAGAAATGTGTATTACGGTAATAATTTAATTTATTATTGTCATTTTCTTGCCAGATTTGAGGGCATTTTTTTAAGCTCTCCACATGTGGTTTACTGTGGACCAAACACTGGCAGCTTCAGGCTTACAATCTGCTGACAAATCCTTCTTAGTTCGTTCACTTTGAAGAATGTGAGCGTGCACTGCTCATGTGCGTGGCAAGCATGCAACCTGATCAGGAGAAGGACAGTGGCCACTCACGTCATCAGGTGAACTTGTGACGAGGCCATCAAGAGGCTGCACATGTGCTCCAGAAAATGAAATTCCCACTATCAACCTATTTTCCATTTCCACCCAATGGCCCACCCCTGCTCCAAAGCCGTGTCTCCACCTCTTAGGAATGCTTGATTTTCAGTATTGCTGAACAGGGGTCAAAGAAAACAAACTGAACAAAGAAACAAATAAAGCCTTTAACCCGGGAGCAAAGACACAGCACCTCCCCACTCCGCAACAGCTCCAGAGCTGCACAGCTGCTGCCAGAGCCTGAGCACAGGCCTGAACTCTGGCCCATGGATCTCACCAATGCATTTCTTCCCTCTGTGCCAAAAAAAGTATCGATAAATGGGATTCATTTACTTGGGACATAAAATAATGTATACCTATAGTTTTCTCCCAGAACTGTGTAAACCGGCATGCTGTCTGCCACAATACAGTCCTCACCCTGCATCAGGAGCTCAGATGGGGGAAGCCAGCAGGGCTGGATGCCTGAGAGTCACAGGTGCTTGGAGGGGAGAGAAAAGCACCACGGAGAGCCAGGCCCTGCCTACAAGTCACATTTCTAGGGGTCTAATGGTCTGGGCAGGCTGGGAGATGCTCTCTAAAGGAAAGGCAAGAAATATTGCCCCACGTCTCCCACCACCAAACAGAAAGTGCAGGTGGTCAGCCCCAGGGCTCACCTGCCCTTTGCCAGGGTCATGAGTCAGGCCCAGGCTGCGCCCTCCACACAATCCTCAAGGAGAGTTCCTGCCAGGCTGGGACAACTGCACTGGGACCTGATGCCCTGGGAAGGACAGGGTTGCATTTAACAGAAACAGCTAAACCTGAAGGGATGAGTTTGCCTTTCCCCGGGGCCATGGGATGGTTTATAGAAAGTTCTACCCATCAGGACAAGACCTCACATGACACCATCAGAGGAACTGATTTCACGCCACAGAGGGAGGAAGAGGGCACATGCCATAGGTCCACTGGTCACAGCACACACATGCTCCTGGGAGCTTCAGACCCAGCAGTGTGGCTCAGGTGCCAGGTCAGGATGTGGGAGGACACAGTGTCTGCATGAATCTGTCACCTTTGTTAGCTGCCTTGTCCCACCAGGTAGAAGATGTGGCAATTGGAGCACAGCAGTAGGAAGCCCAGTGTCCCCCAACCTTCCACATCATACCCAGGACCTCTGAGGTGCATCTATATCCTGCACATCTAGGCTCTGAAAAGCAGGAGGTCCTGGTTTCCACAGCTGTGGGGCTTCTAGCCAGGGCAGGGCCAGGTTCTCTGAAAAAAACAAGCTCTGGGTGCTGCTTTGTCCTCAGGCTGCTCCTCCATGGGACCTGCGGGCAGAAAAATGGGTACCACCTGGACCATGGTGTCAGCAGGAGCAGGGCTGCGCTGCCTGGGGAAGAAAGCGCTCCACGCAAGTACCTCCTGGTACACAGCACTTGATGGCATGTGGACAAGTGCGGGAGCCCTAGACCAAGGACTCTGTGGTGGGCAAGGCTGAGGGCCCCTTAGGGGTGAGGGCCTGGGTTACACCACCAGGGGGTCACCAGGACCCTCAGCAGAAGGTGGAGGGGGTGGTGATCATTACCTGTGCAACCCTGAGATGGGTGGCAGCCACAGAACCTAGGGTTCATTGAACCCCCCTTTTGTAACTAGTGCCCAGGAAAAGGCCTAGAATTTAATAAAGACAAGGCCCCTGTCAGTGGAGTGCTGGATGGGGCGCACCCCCTGGGGCACACCTGAACCTCCCCCAGGGCCTTGGCTGTGAGCTTTGATTGTAGACACACCTATGCCACGGCCCCTTCAGACTGCTCCCTTCACCTCTGAAAAACCAAACAGGATGCTTCTGTTCCTGGAAACGTGAATGCCCTTCGTGTGTTTTTTACTTTGACTAGAAACTCATCTGCAGCTGAAATATATGCAGAGACCTCGTGTGCTCCCAAGATTTCCAGGCATCTCTGAGAGTTTGCTTTTCAGTTCCCAGAAGGTGTGAGAGCTCCAAAGCATGTGCTGCTGGTTTCTCAACTTAGTGTATTTTAGCTCCCTGTGGACAGCATGTTTCTAGCCCCCTTGCACACGCTTGGATCGGATTTTTGAAAAAGCCAAGGGTGGGAGGCAGAATGATGTGGAATGGGCAGAAACTATGACTAAAGGCTGGCCTCATCCCAGGAGGAGATAGAATGCATTAGCCCAGTGACAGTGCCAGGGAACCCATGCAGCAGCCTAGGGAAGGTCATGGAATGGAGCTGGGGTTTCGGCTGTCACCATCCCAGGGTTAGACTCAGCCAGGTGAACAGCTGATTCTCCTCCACAGAACCCTTGGGCTGGCACAAAACATGCAATTCACAGTGAGAGAAAGACCATTCCTGTCCACCCCTTGTAGCCTCCACACACCTGAGCCCATACCTGACATATCCCAGAACAAGACTCCACAGCTATGCATCTGTTCTCTCCAGGGCATTTCATGATGAGAGAGGGATTTACTTAATATGATGAAAATAGAAGAGGAAATGACCTTGACAAGTACATAGTTCCACACCCGCCATCCAGGGCCTAGGAATAGTGCTCAGCCAGGGCCCGGCCCTTCTAGGGCTCTGGGAAGCTGCAGTGAAGGTGGGGTTGGGACAAGCAAGAGTGGCCATTTGCAGGCAGTGTGGGCACCAGGCCATCTGCAGGGGAAAAGCCCAGTGGGAGGATGAGACGACAGCAGAAACCTCGCAGGGGCTATGCACCCCCTCCCCGTGGGAAGGGGATACCCTCCCAGGTGGAGCCACTGTTTACATTGAAATCACTCAAGTCCATCACCAGGAAACACAAAGAGGACTGTCTTGCCAGAGATTAGTGATCTGGGACTTAAACAAAATGCCAGTCAGCAAATGAGAGGATTCTTAGTTCCACAGGCCTCATGTCTATAGTTGCAGTAAGCAAGACTGAACTCAGCCATGCTCACCTGCAGACACTGAGATGCTTGCTAGGAGGCTGTGGGGTGGAATACAAGACACGAGGGCTGACAAGGATGGGAAGAGCATCCCTTTCCTGGCTAGGGGCCTTGGCCAATTCAAAAATAGATAACATGGGGTCTCAGAGCTCCTGAGGCAAGAGCTACGTAGGCATTCAGAGATACCTGGATGATGGCATTGTCTTCAGTAGAACCTTGAAAAAGCACCAGGGACTCCCAGGCAACTTAGCTTAAATCTGTCTTGAGTAGAGCTGGTCTTTGGGATCTCCATCAAGTGGGTGATGCCTTTACCACCATGATAGCACATTATAAAGTTGGCCTTGCTAGCAGCAGGGACAGGCCTGATGTCACTGATCCTGAGGCAAGCATCTTATAAACCCATATAATTTAATTTTGCATAGGCTCAAGCTCATCACTGAGATCATCCTTTGTATGATGATCCATGAGGCCACCGTGAACAGCATGGATGGACCCAGGCCATGGAGGGGCCCTCTTCATCCTGGATGAGGAGCCCACAGTGGCCATTGCCCCTCAGTCAGAATAAAATCAAGACAAAAGCAATCAGAAGACCCATACACCATGAGGCTGAGCCATTTTTCAAAGATGTCAAAATAGGAAAATACTAAAATGGAAGAAAACCCAGAATCCCATCCCCTGACTTGCTCCAGAGGCCTCCCCAACTCCAGGCCACCAGGAGCAGGGGCCCTGCAGAGGAACTCTCCCTGGGTAGAAATTCGCTGGTTTTTGCCTTCCACCAGATGTTGGCAACTTCAATTTCATCTTTTTTGGCATTAGAGCTAATGTTAAAATGACTCAGGTCAAAAAAGAGTGATGTGCTGCAGCCCTGACAATGCTCCCAGTGAGAATTTGTGCAAAACTCTTCCCTGGATCTACAAAACCAGGTCCAGGCAGGGTGTTGGGGCTGTGACGACTGCATCTCTGCCTCCTCCTCTCTGCAGTGCGGCCTCTTCACAGGCAGAGCATTCATTCCTCTTTAGCTTCTCACCAGCCCAGGATGCAGGGAAGAAGTAGCTTATCAGCACAGTCTTGGAATATTTTTACCTTACCAGCTGGGCTCCTATGAACAATGTGTCCAGCTATAGGTAAACAATGTGTGCAAATAATGTGAGAGTGACAGCACCATGTCAGAACCATGCAAGAAGCTGGCCAGAGGCACAAGCAGCAGATGGGATGCTGATGGGGGTGACCAAAATACAGTATGGGGCAGCTGCATGCCATGATCAATCTGCAGGGGTAGGGAAAAAAATAACTCTCGGCCTGGCTAACATTTGCGTGGGGGAACAGTGACCCAAGTCCCCAGGAGAACGTTGAAGAGAACCACGGTTTATTGTGAAAGGGAAAAGTAACCGCAGAGGCAGAGTTTTCTTTCTGGTTCTAAGCAGATGGGAGGGGTGTAGCCTGCAGAACCAAGGGTGTGGGGATCCTAGAATGTTGTTGGTGGTTGTTCAGCAGAGGGCTTCGCTTCTCGGCCTGCAGAACTTTCCGCCTGTGAGTGTGGGTTACATCTATACATACACAGGAAATCATATACTCTCACTCAGCCGCCCACATCTAAACATGGTAGTATTAGGAAAAATAGGAAAGCAACATCCTACTAGATTACATTGCTTGCAGTGAAACCATTTAAACCCCTGAGCCTCTGTGTCACCAATTAACACTGTGTGTAAGGAGAATGCCTGCCCCGTGGGGGTTTGTAAAGACAAAATGTAAAAATAAAATGTAGGCTGGGTGCGATGGCTCATGCCTGTAATCCCAGCACTTTGGGAGGCCGAGGGGCACGGATCACGAGATCAGGAGATCGAGACCATCTTGGCTAACATGGTGAAACCCTGTCTCTACTAAAAAAATAAATAAATAAATAAATAATAAATTATAAAATAAAATGTAGTGTGCTTGGTAAACTAAAGTTCTAAATAAATATTAGTTGTTACTATTACTATGTCAGAAGTACTAGTCACAAGACTGGAATACTTCACTTGAATAAGAACTCAGTGCAAAGAAGTTGGACAAATCGGTGAGTTTGAAACTGCAACAGGACTAAAAATATGCCAATTAATTTATTAATGTATTCATATTTATTAACTTATTTATATTCAAATGAATTAAATATTTAGTGCATGCTTGGACCTGGGAACACACAGCCATCAGTGCCACACGAACTCTGTCCTCACTGCAGTTGTTTTCAGATGACCTCAGAGGAAAATAAGAGGGAAACCACTGGCAATTTCCTTCCGTTGATACCTTAGCTGACTACATAGCTCATGTTAGGTCGGTCTTAATGAGGAAATCAGAATATTCGGGGCTTCAGTATTAAAACTACAAATCTCTATAGCAAGCATTCAGAGCTCTTTGGATTAGACATCAGTGGCTGCAGTAATGTTACCTGAGAAACCCACACACTTTCTGAACACTGGCATGAGTATCCTTTCCTTTCGGTCCACTATATATGGAAAAACACTTTCACCCATCACCCTAAGTGTCCCAAACTGCAGAAGAGGCAGATAGTAGCCAGCTAGTCCCTGTCAAAGGCCCATTGCCTTTTTCTGGGTCAGCCTGGTCCACCCAGCCTGAGGTGCTCTCTGAGACAGCCTAGCCACCACGCCACATGCCCTTCAGCCTAATCAGAGCATCAGGATGCTGTGCACGGCCATTAGCTGGGGTGACTCAGAATTATCTGCTGTAGAACAGGGCTCTGAGTGAAGGATGTGGTCACTCAGACCACGTAGATGGTTCAAGCTCTTACTCCTCTGTCAGCTCAGAGCCTGCACAGTGGAAAGGAAGTGCATCTATTGATTTCTTGGCCAAAAGAACTAGTTAATACATTTTTAAAAACTTTGACATTTTGTTTTAAAGCAACAGTGGGCCTTGTTTAACTAAAATCTCATTTCTCCAGCCTAATTTTGCTGGAAAGGCCCCAAACCAAGGCAAGCCCCTGGAGGAGAGAGAGCAGCTAGGATGCTGGCACCAGATGGCTTTGTTCCCCAGCCTTCAATATACTCAGTTAGAAAATAACCACATCAGAGGTTTGATAAGATTATCCCCCAGGCCATTTTTCAGGTCTAAATGTTACCATATTTTATACGAGAATACGGTATTTGAATCAACTCTCAGGGGACCCAGCCTTCAGGAGACACTGAAGGAATACAGACATTTTTTCTAGCTTCAAAAGCATGGTTTGCAAACTGGCTTGTTCTTTGCCGGAGAAAACCACACACGTGGCCATTGATGCCCTTGATTGGCAGAGTTGATGGGATTTTCTCTGGCTGTCACCTTGAGGGCATCATCAGCATCCTGAAGTCACTTGCAGGCCTCTGTGCAGATGTCCTTTCGAGGGGCTTCAGGCTGTGGAAGTGACCAGTGAACACAGGACCTGCCTGGACTCCCAGCCTCACAGCACAGCACCACAGCCTGGACTGCCCTCTGCCTGATACTTGCTTGGTTTGGAACTTTACTCCATCAAAGCATCCAAATAAAAATATGTAGACTCCCCACCCTATCCCATCTGCTATAGGGTTCTAATTCCCCCACAGCCATCCCATCACAGTGCTTTCCCCCATGACGGGGGACCCCTGCCCTGGACTCCATCCCTCCCCTACTGGAAAAGCACAGGTGCTGTGGCATGAGTTCAACCGACTGAAATTCCCTGATCTTCACAGTAATAATTCTAAAATAGGGCAACAATACCCCTGTCAGTGTTCTTGGAAGAACCTCTCATTACTTGAGGCCCCAGAAATGCAAACACCCTCCTGTTTTCCAGTGTGCTGTCAACCCTGGCATCAGAGCTGTTCCTGCCATGGACACTGGTAATTGACTTACTGGAGAAAGTCAAGCTTTTAAGTCCCAGGAATAAAGGGTTCCTATTTCCTTAAGCTGTGTTTATTTTTACACCATTGCTGGTAGAGTCAATGTGTACTGAGTGAAGATGAGGCAAAAGTGTCAAAGAGTGATTTCCAATAAGATGAAAAGTGATCTGCAGTTTCCACTTCCTTAACCAGCAGGAAACGTCTCTCCTGTAGCAACGGACAGTGGAGGCAGTGGCGCTCAGTGTGGGGCCTCCTGGCTGAAGGAGGGGACAATATGGTGTCCCATCTCCCGAGATGCTGTATGCACCTCACCTGGCTGGTGATTTACTTGAAAGAAACCCATGTGTGGAGTAGGGAGTGCTGCCTTTGGCATCTACCCATGTCCTGCTCTGGACTCTGCCTCTTAGCAAGGGTGACTTGTGGGCCCAACTCACCTGGTGGCTGTGAGCCACTGCACTCCAGCCTGGGCAACAGAGTGAGGCCTTGTGTGAAAATAAAATAAAATAAAATATAAAAATAAAAATGAGCCAGGAATGGTGGCTCACGGCTGTAATCCCAGCACTTTGGGAAGCCGAGACAGGCGGATCACATGTGGTCAGGAGTTGGCGACTAGCCTGATCAACATGGAGAAACGCTGTCTCTACTAAAAATACAAAAAATTAACCTGGTGTTGTGGCTCATGCCTGTAATCCCAGCTACTCAGGAGGCTGAGGCAGGAGAGTCGCTTGAACCCAGGAGGTGGAGGTTGCAGTGAGCCAAGTTCCCGCCATTACACTCCAGCCTGGGCAACAAAAGCGAAACTCCGTCTCAAAAAATAAAATAAAAGACTTTAAGTCATTCATCAATTTTATGTATCTACTATTTCTTCTCCCATTCCATAAAGCCTACAGTCATACAACAGAAAGGGAAAATCAGGACAGCCACATATAAATAAAGGTGCAAAGTTGAGGCAGGAGTGGACCTTAAGGGCCAAGCAGAGGTCATTGCTGAGCCCTGGTCATTTAGCCCTGGGCTTTCTGGAAGCCAGAGTGAAAAGAGAGACACAATCAGCTGCATAAGAGTTATCAAAAAGCAGGAAGCGCGCTGGTTTTCCTGGTAGTAAAGCAAGGGCTTTCCAAGAATTTACCTCTAAAGTAATTTCTTTTGTTCTTTCTTTTTTCTCGCTCTGACACCCAGTTGGAGTGCAGTGGCACAATCAGGGCTCACTACAACGTCTGCCTCCCAGGCTCAAGCCATCCTCCCACCTCAGCCTCTCAAATAGCTGGGACTACAGGCACGCACCACCATGCCTGGCCAGTTTTTTGGTATTTTTTGTAGAGGTGGGATTTTGCCATGTTGCGTAGGCTGGTCTGGAACTCCTGAGTTCAAGCAATCCACCCACCTTGGCCTCCTAAAGTGCTGGGATTTCAGGCATGAGACACTGCGCCCAGCCTAAAGTAATTTCTTACTTGAGATTTTATTTCAGGCTACTGTGTCATGCACTGGGCAGTACAGCCTGGTGGGTGAGAGCACAGTGGTTTTTTTTGTTTTGTTTTGTTTTGTTTGTCTTCTGGGTTTGGGTTTGAATTTTAATACGTGCAATTTATTCTGTGCTTCACTTTCTTCATCTGTAACATGGAGATAACGGCGTCTACCTATTAAAGTTGTGAAGATTCAATTAGATGAGTTGTATGAATAAGTGTTAGCTGTTATTTTATTTTATTTATTTTTTTGAGACAGAGTCTCGCTCTGCGCCCAGGCTGGAGTGCAGTGACGCAATCTTGGCCCATGGCAACCTCCGCCTCCCGGGTTCAAGCTATTCTCCTGCCTCAGCCTCCCAATTAGCTGGGATTACAGGCGCCTGCCATCATGCCCGGCTAATTTTTGCATTTTTAGTAGATCCGGGTTTTCACCATATTGGCCAGGCTGGTCTCGAACACCTGACCTCTGGTGATCCACCCGCCTCAGCCTCTCAAAGTGCTGGGATTACAGCCGTGGGTCACTGCGCCCAGCCAGCTATCAAGAAATCCGACTGCCTACTACTTAGCCTGCACAGTTTCAGGTGCTGGGGAAATAGTGATGAACAAGACAAACAAGATCCTCATCTTCAAGTAGCTTTTACATTCTAAGTGGAGTGAAAAAACAATAAACATTGAAAATAAATTTCAGAAAGTGCTGTGGAAAAACTTTACAACAGATGCAGGAATAGATTTCATTTGACTAGTTCTCCCAGTTTCCAGAAAAATCAAGGGTAGAATGTTAAAAGGCAACTCAGAGGTGAATCTGTTAGGGCCTACGGTAATGCAATCCTGGTTTGTGGAATTCCGCAGGCTAGTGTGGGTAGGTTACAATTTTGGGGGGAGGGCTTTATTTTGTTTGAAAATTCACTTCTTCCCGCTAAGCTTTTGATTAGGAGCTGAAGTTGAATCAGTTTGAAATTGTATTCTGGATCGAGTGCGGTGCTTCATGCCTGTAATCCCAGTGCTTTGGGAGGCCGAGGTGGGTGGATTGCTTGAGCCCAGGAGTTCGAGACCAGCCTGGACAAAATGGCAGAAACTCCATGTCTACAAAAAATACAAAAATTAGCCGGGCATGATGTTCTGCGCCTGTAGTCCCAGCTACTCAGGAGGCTGAGGTGGGAGGATCGCTTGAGCCCAGGAGGCGGAGTTTGCAGTGAGCTGAGATGTCACTGCATTCCAGCCTGGGAGACAGAGCCAGACTCTGTCTCAAAAGAAAAAAAGAAAAAAAAAAAAGAAAAGAAAAAACGAAATTGTATTCTGAATACATCTTCTAAAACACTACATTTACTTGCACTATATTAAACTGGTTTTATCCTGACCACAATTGCAGGTGAAAGATACCACTGTTGTTCTATTTTTCTGGTAAGTAGAGTGAGCCATGTCTTCCCCAGGGAAAGACGCCTCCTAAAAATTTGTAGGACCACCTTTGGTTTTCTTCCAGATATTTTTTTTGTCATCGCTTTTCCTGCGCCCAATTCCCATCTGTCTAGCCCTTCTGCCTCCGCTCGTCTTTTTCGCGAGCCTCTCCCCAGCCGCAGGTATTCGTCTGGGCTGCAGCCCCTCCCATCTCCTGGGGCGTGACCACCTGTCCAGGCCCCGCCCCCGTCCAACCCGCGGAGACCCGCCCCCTTCCCCGGACACCGGGTTCAGCGCCCGAGCGTGCGAGCGCGTCCCCGCTCGTCGCCCGGCTCGGCGTCGGGAGCGCGCTCTGTGTGGTCGCTGCTGCAGTGTTGTTGTGGCTGTGAGAAGGCGGCGGCGGCGGCGGAGCAGCAGCCGGACCAGACTCCCTAGTAGCTCAGGCGCTGCCCTGCGCCGGCCCTGGCAGGGAGCCTGGTGAGATGGTGGAGGAGGAGGCTGTGCCGTGGCTGGCCTTGCTGTGTCCTGCTGCCTGGTTAGAACCCCATCCCCGTCCCCCGTCTCCTCCGGGGGGTGAGGAGGAGCTGGAAGAGGGGCCGGCCTCTGTCCGGCCCGGCCAGGCGGCCGTCACCCTCTGAGGAGGCAGCGCCCGGGGAGGGGCCTCCCAGGCGGCCGCCGCCGCCAGGGGGAGGCGCTGGGAGTGGGAGTGGGAGCGGGACCTCAGCTGCCAAGCTCGGCCCGGACCCTAGGTGCGGGGGAGGCGGGGTCCCGGGCTCGGGCTGCCTGCCCGGACCTGGCGGGGATGGGCCCGTGCGGCTCCGGGTGTGGGACGTACCCTCAGAGCGCCCGGGGTTATTCCCACTGACTCCAGGGAGGTGAGTGTGCGCCCTTCGCTCCCTGCCGTGTCTGTGAGGGTCCATCGTTGCCGGAGACTGGAGGTCGGGGGCCATGGGAGCCCCGGGGCGAACGGTGCGGACATGGGCCTTGTGGAAAGGAGGAGTGACCGCCTGAGCGTGCAGCAGGACATCTTCCTGACCTGGTAATAATTAGGTGAGAAGGATGGTTGGGGGCGGTCGGCGTAACTCAGGGAACACTGGTCAGGCTGCTCCCCAAACGATTACGGTGTTATTTCTCCGGTAGAAATTTTGCTTGGTGTATGGCACTTCCGGACCCATAAGATGATGTCAGTTGTATTTTGGGCTGGAAAAATTATGTCAAAATTATGGGGTAGATTTTATGGCCACATTAATAGACTCCCCTGGAGTTTGATAATCTCACTTGTGAGTTTTGGACATGAACTACTATTACATATTGATGTTCGAATGTCGTTTCCAGACCCAGACCTAAATTCTTACTGTTCTAGTATCTTGATATCCACTTTGTTTTCTGACATCTATTTTTCCACAACCCAAACAAACAAAACCCCAAAACCATATACTTTTCCAGTTGAGGTTCAACTTTCTCACAGTAAATCCCTTCCCATCTGGGATTACAGGAGTAATAGCAACACAGTGTGTGTTTATAGATAGCAGCAATAATACATTTATTATATATAATATAATAAATGTATTAATATTATATATTTGTATATATACAAATATATATAATTACATATATTTATTAAATATATAAGTAAAAATTTATTATATATAAATTTTAATTTATATATAAAATTACATATATAGTAATATGTATTGAAATACATATTACTATAAATGTAATATGTATTTCATTTGTGTATATGTCAATATACACAAATGGAAGCAATGACTACGTAATAAGTGCTAAGTCTTTTTTGTTCTTGTTGTTTTGAGATCAAGTGTCACTCTTGTTTCCCAGGCTGGAGTGCAATGGTGCAATCTCGGCTACTGCAACCACTGCTGCCCGAGTTCAATCGATTCTCCCCTCAGCCTCCCAAGTAGCTGGGATTACAGGTGTGTGCCACCACACCCGGCTAATTTTTGTATTTTTAGTAATTTTCCCCAGTGTGTGGCTTGGCTTTTCACTCTCTAAATGGTGTCTTTTGATGAACAGAAATTGTTAATTTTATGAAAGTTTAATTTATCAATTATGGTTAGTTATAGTTATGTACAATTTGGAAAATCATTGCCTATCCCAACATTATAAAAATAATGTCCTACATTCTTTTTTAAGAGGTTACATTATTTTACATTTCTCAGCAGGGTCTCAGATCTAGTTGATGTGATTTTTTCAAATCACAAACTCACTTTTGTATAGGGTTTGAGGAGGGGTCAAAATAAATTTTTCCTCATAGATATCCAGTTGATCCAGCACCTTTTATTGAAAAGGCCATTCCTCACACTAAATTGTAGTAGTGCTTTTGTCAAAAATCAGGTGACTGTATATAGAAAGGTCTGTTTCTGATCTGTTTTCTGTTTTATTATTCTAGGTGTCCATGCTTGTTCTAATACCTTACTATTTGATTTACTTTAGCTTTATACCAAGTTTTGATGTTTAATCATGTAAATCCTCAACCTTTGTTCTTTTTCAAAGTTATCTTGGCTATTAAATTCTTGGTATTTCTAAATATAGTTTTAAAACAGTGTCAGACAATGCTTTTTTATTATTTAAAGATGAGATACTAAGTACCTGAACACAATGACAAATTCTATGATCTTCTGAAACTAACCTCCGGGTGTGAGAATTTGAAGGTTAGTGGATAGAAGATGGCCGAATAGGAACAGCTCCGATCTGCAGCTCCCAGTGAGACCAACACAGAAAACAGGTGATTTCTGCATTTCCAAATGAGGTACCTGGTTCATCATCATTGGCACTGGTTGGACAGTGGGTGCAGCCCACAGAGGGTGAGTTGAAGCAGGGCAGTGTGTCACCTCATCCGGGAAATGCAAGGGGTCAGGAGATTTCCTTTACCTATCCAAGGGAAGCTGTGACAGACTGTACTTGGAAAAATGGTACACTTCTGCCTAAATACTGTGCTTTTCCCATGGTCTTAGCAACCAGCAGACCAGGAGATTCCCTCCCATGTCTGGCTCAGTGGATCCCACGCCCATGGAGCCTTGCTCACTGCTAGCACAGCAATCTGAGATTGACCTGAGAGGCTGCAGCCGGGTGGAGGGAGGGGGGTCTGCTATTGCTGAGGCTTCAGTAGGTAAAGAAAGCAGCCAGAAAGCTCAAACTGGGTGGAGCCCACCACAGCTCAACAATGCCTACTGCCTCTATAGGCTCCACCTCTTTGGACAGGGCATAGCTGAACAAAAGGCAGCAGACAACTTCTTCAGACTTAAACATCCCTGTCTGACAGCTCTGAGAGAGAAGTGGTTCTTCCAGCATGGTGTTGGAACTCTGAGAATGGACAGACTGCCTCCTTAAGGGGGCCCCTGATCCCCGTATAGCCTGACTGGGAGACATCTCCCAGTAGGGGCCGACAGATACCTCATACAGGTGGGTGCCCCTCTGCGATGAAGCTTCCAGAGGAAGGATCAGGCAGCAATACTTGCTCTTCTGCAGCCTCTGCTGGTGATGCCCAGGCAAACAGGGTCTGGAGTGGACCTCCAGCAAACTCCAACAGACATGCAGCTGAGAGGCCTGTTAGAAGGAAAACTAACAAACAGAAAGGAATAGCATCAATATCAACAAAAAGGACATCCACATTAAAACCCCATCTGTAGGTCACCAACATCAAAGACCAAAGGTAGATAAAATCACAAAGATGGGGAGAAACCAGAGCAGAAAAGATGAAAATTCCAAAAACCTAAGCACTTCTTCTTGTCCAAAGGATCGCAGCTCCTCACCAGCAACAGAACAAAACTGGACAGAGAATGACTTTGATGAATTGACAGAAGTAGGCTTCAGAAGGTCGGTAATAACAAACTTCTCTGAGCTAAAGGAGCATGTTCTAACCCACTGGAAGGAAGCTAAAACTCTTGAAAACAGGTTAGATGAATGGCTAACTAGAATAAATAGTGTAAAGAAGACCTTAAATGACCTGATGGAGATGAAAACCACAGCATGAGAACTTCGTGACGCATGCACAAGCATCAATAGCTGATTCAATCAAGTGGAAGAAAGGATATCAGTGATTGAAGATCAAATTAATGAAATAAAGTGAGAAGACAAGATTAGAGAAAAAAGAGTAGAAAGAAATGAACAAAGCCTCCAAAAAATATGGGACTATGTGAATAGACCAAATCTACATTTGATTGGTGTACCTGAAAGTGACAGGGAGAATGGAACCAAGTTAGAAAATATTCTTCAGGATATTATCCAGGAGAATTTCCCCAACCTGGCAAGGCAGGCCAACATGCAAATTCAGGAAATACAGAGAATACAACAAAGATACTCCACGAGAAGAGCAACTCCAAGACACATAATTGTCAGATTCACCAAGGTTGAAATGAAGGAAAAAATGTTAAGGGCAGCCAGAGAGAAAGGTCGGGTTACCCACAAAGAGAAAACCATCAGACTAACAGCGGATGTCTCAGCAGAAACCCTACAGGCCAGAAGAGTGGGGGCCAATATCCAACATTCTTAAAGAAAAGAATTTTCAACCCAGAATTTCATATCCAGCCAAACTACGCATCATAAGTGAAGGATAAATAAAATCCTTTACATACAAGCAAATGCTGAGAGATTTTGTCACCATCAGGCCTGCCTTACAAGAGGTCCTGAAGGAAGCAATAAACATGGAAATGAACAATCAGTACCAGCCACTGCAAAAACATGCCAAATTGCAAAGGCCATCTACACTATGAAGAAATTACATCAACTAAGGGGTAAAGTAACCAGCAAACATAATAATGACAGGATCAAATTCACACATAACACTATTAAATGTAAATGGGCAAAATGCCCCAATTAAAAGACACAGACTTGCAAATTGGATAAACAGTCAAAACCATCAGTGTGCTGTATTCAGGAGGCCCATTTCACATGCAGAGACACACATAGGCTCAAAATAAAGGGATGGAGGAAGATCTACCAAGCAAATGGAAAGCAAAAAAAGCAGGGGTTGCCATCCTAATCTCTGATAAAACAGACTAAACCAACAAAGATCGAAAGAGACAAGGTCATTACATAATGGTAAAGGGATCAATTGAACAAGAAGAGCTAACTATTCTAAATATATATGCACCTAATACAGGAGCACCCAGATTCATAAAGCAAGTCCTTAGAGACCTACAAAGAGACTTAGACTCCGATGCAATAATAATGGGAGACTTCAACACCCCAATCTCAATAGTAGATCAATGAGACAGAAGTTTAGCAAGGATATCCAGGATGTGAACTCAGCTCTGCACCACATGGACCTAAATAGATATCTACAGAATTCTCCACCCCAACTCAATAGAATATATATTCTTCTCAGCACCACATCACACTTATTCTAAAATTGACCACATAATTGGAGGTGAAACATTCCTCAGCAAATGTAAAAGTACAGAAATCACAACAAACTGTCTGTCAGACCACAGTGCCATCAAATTAGAACTCAGGATTAAGAAACTCACTCAAAACTACACAATGACATGGTAACTGAAGAACCTGTTCCTGAGTGACTACTGGATAAAAAATGAAATGAAGGCAGAAATAAATATGTTCTTTGAAACAACATACCAGAATCTCTGGGACACATGTAAAGCAGTATGTAGAGGGAAATTTATCGTACTAAATGCCCACAAGAGAAAGCAGGAAAGATCTAAAATCAACAGCCTAACATCAAAATTAAAAGAACTGGAGAAGCCAGAGTAAACAAATTCAAAAGCTAGCAGAAGGCAAGAAATAACTAAGATCAGAGCAGAACTGAAGGAGATGGAGATACAAAAAACCGTTCCAAAAATCAATGAATCCAGGAGGTGGTTTTTTGAAAAGATCAACAATAGATAGACTGCTAGCAAGACTAATAAAGAAGAAAAGAGAGAAGAATCAAATATGCTCAATAAAAATGATAAAGGGGATATCACCACCAATCTCACAGAAATATGAACTACCATCAGAGAATACTATAAACACCTCTATGCAAATAAACTAGAAAATCTAGAAGAAATGGATAAATTCCTGGACATACACACCCTCCCAAGACAGAACTAGGAAGAAGTTGAATCTCTGAATACACCAATAACAGGTTCTGAAATTGAGGCAATAATTAATAGCATACCAACCAAAAAAAGTCCAAGACCAGATGGATTCACAGCTGAATTCTACCAGAGGTACAAAGAGGAGCTGGTACCATGCCTTCTGAAACTATTCCAATCAATAGAAAAAGAGGGAATCCTCCCTAACTCATTTTATGAGGCCAACATCATCCTGATACCAAAGCCTGGCAGAGACACAACAAAAAAAGAGAAATTTAGACCAATATCCCTGATGAACATCAGTGCCAAAATCCTCAATAAAATACTGGCAAACCAAATCCAGCAGCACATCAAAAAGCTTATCCACCATGATCAAGTGGGCTTCATCCCTGGGATGCAAGGCTGGTTCAACGTACACAAATTAATAAATGTAATCCATCACTTAAACAGAACCAATGACAAAAACCACATGATTATCTCAATAGATGCAGAAAAGGCCTTCGACAAAATTCAACAGCCCTTCATGCTAAAAACTCTCAATAAACTAGGTATTGATGGAATGTATCTCAAAATAATAAGAGATATTTAAAACCCACAGCCAACACCATATCGAATGGGCAAAAGCTGGAAGCATTCCCTTTGAAAACCACCACAAGACAAGGATGCCCTCTCTCACCACTCATGTTCAACATAGTGTTGGAAGTCCTGGCCAGGGCAATCAGGCAAGAGAAAGAAATAAAGGGTATTCAATTAGGAAATTAGGAAGTCCAATTGTCCCTATTTGCAGATGACATGATTGTATATTTAGAAAACCCCACCGTCTCAGCCGAAAATCTCCTTAAGCTGATAAGCAACTTCAGCAAAGTCTCAGGATACAAAATCAATGTGCAAAAATCATAAGCATTCCTATAATGTTGCCGGAAGTCAGGGACCCCAAACAGAGGGACCGGCTGGAGCCGCAGCAGAGGAACATAAATTGTGAAGATTTCATGGACATTTATCTGTTCCCAAAATTAATACGTTTATAATTTCTAACACCTGTCTATACTGCAATCTCTGAACATAAATTGTGACGATTTCAGGGACATTTATCAGTTCCCAAATAGTACTCTTTGAATTTCTTATGCCAGTCTTTACTTTAATCTCTTAATTCTGTTATCTTCCTAAGCTGAAAATGTACATCACCTCAGGACCACTATTGTACAAATTGATTGTAGAATATGTGTGTTTGAACAATATGAAATCTGATTGTAAAACATGGGCGTTTGAACAATATGAAATCAGTGCACCTTGAAAACGAACAGAATAACAGCGATTTTAGGGAAGAAGGGAAGACAACCAAAGGTCTGACTGCCTGCGGGGTCAGGCAGAATAGAGCCATATTTTTCTTCTTGCAGAGAGCCTATAAACAGATGTGCAAGTAGGAGAGATATCGCTGAATTCTTTTCCCAGCAAAGAATATTAATAATTGATACCCTGGGGAAGGAATGGATTCCTGGGGGGAGGTCTATAAACAGCTGCTCTGGGAGTGTCTGTCTTATGCGGTTGAGATAAGGACTGAAATACGCCCTGGTCTCCTGCAGTACCCTCAGGCTTATTAGGGTGGGGAAAAGATCCCGCCCTGGTAAGTTTGAGGTCAGACCAGTTCTCTGCTCTCAAACCCTGTTTTCTGTTGTTTAAGATGTTTATCAAGACAATATGTGCACAGCTGAACATAGACCCTCATCAGTAACTCTAATTTTGCCCTTTGCCTTGTGATCTTTATTGCCCTTTAAAGCATGTGATCTTCGTGATATACTCCCTGTTCATACATGCTCTCCCCTTTTAAAGTCCTTAATAAAAACCGGCTGGTTTTGTGGCTCAGGGGGACATCACGGACCTATTGTTATGTGATGTCACCCCCAGAGGCCCAGCTGTAAAATTCCTGTCTTTGTACTCTTTTTCTTTATTTCTCAGGCCAGCCGACACTTAGGGAAAATAGAACCTACATTGAAATATTGGGGGCTGGTTCCCCCGATACTATAAACCAGTAACAGACAAACAGAGAGCCAAATCATGAGTGAACTCCCATTCACAATTGTTACAAAGAGAATAAAATACCTAGGAATCCAACTTACAAGGGATGTGAAGGACCTCTTCAAGGAGAACTACAAACCACTGCTCAATGAAATAAAAGAGGACAAAAACAAATGGAAGAACATTCCATGGTCATGGATAGGAAGAATCAATATCATGAAAATGGCCATACTGCCCAAGGTAATTTACAGATTCAATGCCATCCCCATCAAGCTACCAATGACTTTTTTCACAGCATTGGAAAAACTATTTTAAAGTTCATATGGAACCAAAAAAGAGCCCACCTAGCCAAGACAATCCTAAGCAAACAGAGCAAAGCTGGAGGCCTCACGCTACCTGACTTCAAACAATACTGCAAGGCTACCGTAACCAAAACAGCATGGTACTGTTACCAAAACAGGTTATATAGACCAATGGAACAGAAAAGAGGCCTCAGAAGTAACACCACACATCTACAACCATCTGATCATGGCAAACCTGACAAAAACAAGCAACAGGGAAAAAATTCCCTATTTAATAAATGGTGTTAGGAAAACTGGCTAGCCATATATAGAAAGCTGAAACTGGGTCCCTTTCTTACACCTTATACAAAAATTAACTCAAGATGGATTAAAAACTTAAACGTTAGACCTAAAAACTATAAAAACCCTAGAAGAAAACCTAGACAATACCATTCAGGACATAGGCAAGGGCAAAGACTTCATGACTAAAACACCAAAAGCAATGGCAACAAAAGCCAAAATAGACAAATGGGATCTAATTAAACTAAAGAGCTTCTGCACAGCAAAAGAAATATCATCAGAGTGAACAGGCAACCTACATATTGGGTGAAAATTTTGCAATCTACCTATCTGACGAAGGGCTAATATCCGGAATCTACAAAGAACTCAAACAAATTTACAAGAAAAAAAACAACCCCATCAAAAAGTGGGCAAAGGATATGAACAGACAGTTCTCAAAAGAGACATTTATGCAGCCAACAGACACATGAAAAAATGCTCATCATTACTGGTCATCAGAGAAATGCAAATCAAAACAACAATGAGATACCATCTCATGCCAGTTAGAATGGCAACCATTAAAAAGTTAGGAAACAACAGATGCTGGAGAGGATGTGGAGAAATAGGAAAGCTTTTACACTGTTGGTGGGAGTGTAAATGAGTTTAACCATTGGGGAAGACAGTGTGGTGATTGGTGATTCCTCAAGGATCCAGAACTAGAAATAACATTTGATCCAGCAATCCCATTACCGGGTATATACCCAAAGGATTATAAATCATGCTACTGTAAAGACACATACACACGTATGTTTATTGCGGCACTCTTCACAATAGCAAAGACTTGGAACCAACCCAAATGTCCATCAGTGATAGCCTGGGTTAAGAAAATGTGGCACATATACACCATGGAATACTATGTAGTCATAAAAAAGGATGAGTTCATGTTCTTTGTAGAGACATGGATGAAGCTGGAAACCATCATTCTCAGCAAACTATCACAAGGACAGAAAACCAAACACTGCATGTTCTCACTCATAGGTGGGAATTGAACAATGAGAACACATGGACATAGGAAGGGGAACATCACACACCGGGGCCTATTGGGGGGTGGGCAGCTGGGAGAGGGATAGCATTAGGAGAAATACCTAATGTAAATGATGAGTTGATGGGTGCAGCAAACCAACGTGGCACATGTATACCTATTTAACAAACCTGCACTTTGTGCAAATGTACCGTAGAACTTAAAGTCTAATAATAAAAAAAACAAATTTAGTGGACAAAGTGAGTAGCTATCTTTTCTGCTTTCATCTCACTAAATCTAGTTTAATAATCAGATTGCAATAACATAATAAATTTTATAGTAAGATTGTATATAATTACCTATATATTGGAAGACAAGGGAAAATTTATAACTGTGAGTGCTGATGAAGCTAACATATTACCTGCATTTTGAAGTGTGAATGAACATTCAACAGGAATGCACTTATTTCATGGAATAAGATGTAAGATGTAAGAGATATGAAAGAAAAATATGAGTAATGTAATAAGTAATGCTTTAAAAAAAAGTAGGGAAGCCATTAATGTACTGTGACTGTTACATTATGTTCAAAATGAGAACTAAAGCCATATTCAACAGATGCCTCCCACACTTTTATCATACTCTTCTTATATCTGTACTTTTTTTTTTTTTTTTGAGACAGAGTCTCTCTCTGTCACCAAGGCTGGAGTGCGATGGCGTGATCTCAGCTCACTGCAACCTCCGCCTCCTGGGGTCAAGTGATTCTCCTTCCTCAGCCTCTCGAGTAGCTGGGATTACATGCATGTGCCACCATGCCCAGCTAATTTTTTGTATTTTTAGTAGAGATGGGGTTTCACCATGCTGGCCAGGCTGGTCTCAAATTCCTGACCTCATGAACCGCCCGTCTCAGCCTCCTAAAGTGCTGGGATTACAGGCATGAGCCACCATGCCCGGTCTTAGATCTGTACTTTCTAACAGAGCAACACAACCAGCATTTCTAACAAATGCTGCAAATCTTAAAGACGATGGTGTTCAGCATAATCTAAGAATACAGAGCATAAAAACCTATTTTGGAAAAAATATTAAAAGCATAATGGTAAAATTCAACACTTATTTTTAGAACCTACTGTGTGCCAGGCACTTTAAAAAATGTTTTTAATACAAGGATGAGCAAAATTGGTGAAATCTCTGCCCCTGTGGAGTGTCCAGTCTAATGAAAAAAACAGCAAGTTAAGAAGCAAATGCATAATATAGTGTTAGGTTGTGATAAGGGCTATGTGGAAAAAATAAAGTGTGGTTGAATATAGAATGACACAATGTGTGTGTGTAGAGAGTATTGTTGGAGAGAAGGCTCAGAAGTGAAAGAAATGATGAAAGAACCACACCAATATCTGATGCAAGAGGGAATAGCCAATCAGAAGCCTTAAGGCTGCAAGAGCTGGGAGGTTTAATAAACAGCAAGAAAAATAGTGCCAAAGTGATATAGAGTGGCAGAGGGAAAAGTAGTAAGTAACAGATACAAAAGATAAGCAGGGCCTAGATTCCCTGTGGCCTGGGAGATAATGGTGAAGACTTATGGATTTGTTTCATGTGGTGAAAATCTGTTGTAGAATTTGAGCAGGAAATGATGTGATCTGATCTACGTTTTTGAAAGAATCATTCTGGCTCCTGTTTGGAAAATAGCTGGGATTGGGTTGGAAAAAAAAAAAGTAATGGAAATAGAGGGAACAATCAGAAATGACTGCTGTAATTTAGAAGAGAGATAACGGAAACATGGCCTCGGGTAGTATCTACAAAAAAGGTGAGAACTCGATTTAGGATGTGTTGTGAAGGTAAAGTTGACAGGCTTTGCCAATAGAATGGATTTGGAGTGTGTAAAACATAGGGAATCCAGGCTGATTTTTAAATTGAGGGCCAGAGCCACTGGATAGTTAGAGATGATATTTCCACTAAGACTGGAAGTGAGGGGGAGCATCATATTTGGGGCAGGGAGGAATCAAAGTTTCTGTTTTGAGTGGTTAAATTCAGAATGCTTCTCAGATATCCCAGAGGAGGTGTTAATTTGGCAGTCAAGTATCTGAATCTGGACACAGAGGGGAGGTCAAGGCTGGATGTGTTAGTTTAGAAATAACCAGCATTTGGGTAAGATTAAAACCTATGATATAGGATAAAATTATCTAGAGAGAGCATTTACTCAGAGAACTCTCAATATTCAGGAACACAAGCCTATCCAGACTGGCTCAGGATAAATAAAGTTTTATGTAGAAGACAAATAGTTGCCCATGTAGAACCAAAGAAAAGGCGCAAATAAATACAAGCCCATCATCTCTCTTGGTTACATAGAATACATGAGGCAGTAAAGGATAAGGATTAAACTTTCAAGATGTGAATGTCTTGAATTCAGATGTCAAACAGAAATGAATTTGAATCTGTTTCCCACCAGCCAAATGAGTGTTTGATGAAGATGACCATGATGATGATAATGACTTACATTTCTTAATGTTTCCCGTATGTATGTAGGACTTTTAAACTTGTTCCAGTACAGGTAGGGAAAGAAAATTCACATTAGTTTATTCACACACATATAGAGAGAGTTGGGGTATCTGCGTGCTGCCCAGGCTGGGCATTTGAGCCCATTCCTGGGCTCAAATAATCCTCCTGCCTAGGTCTCCCAAAGTGCTGGGATTACAGGCATGATCCACTGTGCCCTGCCCTAAATATATTTTATATATAGCAGGTAATAAAACAAGAACATGAGGATTACAATTTTTAATCACAGAGGGAAAGATTTTGTGAGAATAACATAATTTCATATTCAAACAGCAAGTCTTTAGCTAATTCTTTGATTAAAGTATTGACAAAACCATTTTGAAAAATGTTTCTGAGGCACTTTTACCTGTGAAGTTTTGAAAGATCTACACTTTTTTTTTTTTTAATGTTTTTTTTTTTTATTATACTCTTAAGTTTTAGGGAACATGTGCACATTGTGCAGGTTAGTTACATATGTATACATGTGCCATGCTGGTGCGCTGCACCCACTAACATGTCATCTAGCATTAGGTATATCTCCCAATGCTATCCCTCCCCCCTCCCCCGACCCCACCACAGTCCCCAGAGTGTGATATTCCCCTTCCTGTGTCCATGTGATCTCATTGTTCAATTCCCACCTATGAGTGAGAATATGCGGTGTTTGGTTTTTTGTTCTTGCGATAGTTTACTGAGAATGATGGTTTCCAATTTCATCCATGTCCCTACAAAGGACATGAACTCATCATCATTTTTTATGGCTGCATAGTATTCCATGGTGTATATGTGCCACATTTTCTTAATCCAGTCTATCATTGTTGGACATTTGGGTTGGTTCCAAGTCTTTGCTATTGTGAATAGTGCCACAATAAACATACGTGTGCATGTGTCTTTATAGCAGCATGATTTATAGTCCTTTGGGTATATACCCAGTAATGGGATGGCTGGGTCAAATGGTATTTCTAGTTCTAGATCCCTGAGGAAAAAAAAAAAAAAAAAAAAAAAAAAAAAAGAGAATAGGCACAGAAGTGAATTTGCCTTGTAAACTTGACTTCTGAGCTGCATAAATATTTTACGTAATTACAAAACAAAAAATAAAAAAGCAATTTTTACAAATCTTGTGTGTTCAGTTAGGAGCACACCTTCACAGAGAGGAACTCTTCCCAATGGCTTTAAGGCACAATTGTTGTTGTTTTTAAAAATATCTTAAATAAATTTTTATTTTTATAGATTTAGAGGGTACAAGTGCAGGATTGTTACATGGATAAATTGTGTGGTAGTGAAATCTGGGGCTTTTAGAAGACACAGTAATTTGACTCTCCATCCCTAGTGCACAAAAAAGAATTAAACAATTTCCAGTATTCAGGATCCAAATGAAGTTCATACAGTGATTGTTTGAAATAACTTTTAAGTCTCTTATAATCCATATTTCCACATTTCTTTCTTTCTTTTTTTAATTTATACATTTTTCTGCTTATTGAAGAAAACTAGTTATCCTGTAGTTTTTCCTACAGTCTGAATTTTGCTGTTGCATCACCATAATATAGAAATAAAAATGATGTATGATATTTATGAGCTAATTGGAAATGTGAACATAGACTGGTTATTTAATGATATTAAGAAATTATTGTTTATTTTGTCAGGTGAGACTATACTGTGGTCTTATTAAAATGAGATATATACTGAAGAAAAAAAAAAAAAAAAGAAAGATCTACACTTGGTAAATTTAGCATCTTTTAATTTTTCTTCCCCTACAGTAATTACAAAATTCTGGAGGGGGAAAAATGTAATATTCTCCAGGAGTGAGAATGGAAGACAATACTTTGAGCTATACTAGACATAATCATTTTTGTACATGCACTTTCAGAAGAGGTCCCATGCTGTGGACTGAACTTGAAACGAAATACAGTAATTGTCTCTGGCATTAAATACCCATAGGCATATTTTTACAAGAACATACATTAGTATATGCCTGCTAGATACATAACAATGTGTGAGTATATTTTAAGAGAATCTTAATGTGACTAACAAATAGCAATCAAATTGTTCACAATTTCAGGCTCAAAATTGAAAAGAAGAGGAATTTTTTTTACTAAAAAATTATATACACAGAAAGAGTGATTCAAAGTTGAGCATTAATGCAAATTAGGATGAAATACGAGAAGTAATCCTTGCCAACCATCTGCCTAGCTTCTCCCCACTTCTACCCTTCCCTAGCAGGGGTGAGCTATTTTACCTCCTGGGGAGATGGGAAATGACAGAGAGTGAGAGGCTAATCAGAAGTTTCAAGCACCCCCTTCTCTAAAAGCAGGAGGCTGTTGGTGAGTACTGGAATTTTGTTTTTCTAATTTGGTCTTGAGGTTTCTCTCTGGAAAATGGCTGTGAATTCTAACCCTGCACTGAAAGGGCTCCAGTATTTGGGTCATGGATGTCTACAGTGACTTCTTTATCCTAGTGGATGGCCTAATGCCTAAGTGTTGCCTAGTGCCTAAGCGTCCAACCCATGACCAGGTGTCCCACTCACAGGAAACATGCTTATACCAGCAGGCACCCTCGTGGCTCTTGTCTGACCTATGTCCAGTTTATTTCTACCAAGATATCCATTGTCTAGGAGAGCTTTCCCTTGGAAAGAAACTAGGTTCAGGTGTGTCAGTCAGGTGAGATGCAGAGGAGGCGATGCAACAAAAACCACACAATAATAGGAGGAGTTTATTACTTACAGATTAGAGAAAAGGGCAGCACTCCTTGCAGAGCTGATGGGAAAGCAGAGCCATTCCAGATATACATGCTCTACCAGAACCACAAAGTGCAGAGCAAAAGAGAGAGTGAGGGACCTGTGTGCTAAAGCTTTTATTGGAGTCCAGGGTATTATTAGGTGGGTTTCCATGGGAGTTCTAATTTGCGAGTTTAAAGCAAGCTGTTCCAAGTCCTATGTGGCCACGCTGTTACTGAGAGGTTGTCGCTGCAGCATATCTGTACAGTCTATGGGGGATGGAGGAGTCAGTGGGGTAAGCCAATAGGTGGTACCTAACTGTCCCTTAGGGAAGGTGGTCAACAGCAGACAATTGTATAAGGGAGATATCTGGATTGACCATATTAAGGAACTGGGATGAAATAGAGAACTGGAAATTGTGCCAAGGGTGACTAAACCATGTTTCTTGTATGAGAAAGTCCAACTTATATTCAAAATGAATGCCAAGGCAATATAAAATTACAGGAATTCACTACCATGCACCCCCATGCTCCTGAATTTTCAAGTCCAGACTCCCTATATGTAGCTGATAATATGGGTGCCAAGTAATCTGGAAATTCCTGGAATTTCTGCTGCTAATTGGAAATCCCAGCCCATTTCTTTCAAGGTAATCTGTCTTTGGGTCCAAAGTCAGCATTTTATGACACTTAGGTGCTCTCATCAAAGGTGTGTGTATGAAATGGCTTAAGGAAAAAATAGACACAGAACAGCTTGCCTTTGCCCTGTAGAGCTCTCAGGTAGGTTCAACCCATCCTGGGAATTGGAGTGATTTCAGATACTCTGAATGCCTTTGGTTCCCAAACTGCCATGGGCTTGCTGGTGGAACAAAAACAGACCTTGATACCCTTACTATGAATTATATATATGATTGGCTAACTGAAAGCAAAACCATAATGGAACATGACTGCAGACACGTATATATTCTCCAGGGGTTCCATGTTTTGTTGGGGAAAACATATCTCACCAGGTGAATGGCCTCAATGGCTGAAGGCAGCATGAACCCTAAACTCTTAGATACTTGGATAATTCATTGGGAACAACAACAGACAGAGTTGAAGCTAGTCTTTAAGAATATTCCCTACAAGCCAGCACAGGCAAAAATCTTTCAGGTATAAAATTCTCTTCTTTCTTACTGTAGTGTATCTTTGGCAACATGGGTATACAGACTATGGAAAGCTTAAGAATGTAAGTTACATTTTAGTAGCTCTGTTGGTGGAATATATATGTGTCCAAAGAGCTTTCTTAATTGGATGTGGGCTTACCCTGTTCTACTTTAGTCCAGATTCCTTGTTATTAAGCTTTTTATTGCTGCAGCATATTCTCTAAATATAATTTACTCCTGATAATAATTAATCAACATTACAGAAGAAAGCTATAAATATAAGGTGATAATATAAAATATATATTTATATGTCATATATTACATAGTAAATAAAATACATGTTAAATCAAAATAAAATAGTATTATAGGCTAAAATATATATGTACACATAAACATTTAGTGTAAATGTGCATATAAAAGGAGAAAAAAGGAAATACATTAAGATGATAATACTGTAGGTAGGTAGGGAGATTTTGGTAGTTTACTTTTTCACATATTCCAAAATATTTAATTACTATTTTATAACTTACATAAATTGTAGAATAACTTATCTTGTTTAGTAACAGCATAGAGAGGGGTAAAACTGGCAGAAATGGATATGTTTGATCAATGTTGATCCTTCAAACTACAGTGATCCACTTCTGAGAACAGGGACTCATATTTAATGAGGGAGTAAGCCAGGTTCTTACAGAGCGTGAGATTCAGCTTCTCCTGTCATGAGATGGGGTCAGGCTCTGGGCCAGGAGAGCAATGGCCAGCTTTGGAAGCTATATCTCAGGTCACATTCAAAAGCACACATTTCCAACTCTTTTCCCAACGCTGCTTTTGTCACATTAGAATGAAATTTGCCCTCTGTGTTGAAATATTCTATAAAAAACACAATCTTGCTTAAGTTAAAATTTAAAGTTAGCTTGTCTGACAGCTGGGATGTAAAGAGACAGTGAAAGGATTCTGACTTTTGGCATTGTCAGCAGTTTCCCTTGAGAGTGGAGCCCTGTCTTTCTGCAACCTGCAGCTCTCGCTTTCCTGCTGTGACTGAGCCAGTGGGATCGTCGGCCAGGAGAGGGCGCCTCACTCAGTGAGACATAAATCCAACGCACCCTATGAGGGCACTAGGAAGGTGAAACGCAATCCTCACCTACACTTGCTCTGCTCTCTGCCGTTTCAGCATTCCACCTTAGGGCGTCAGGCTTAACTTTGCAGGTGTTAAATCTCCGTGTGTCCATGAAACACTTCAAGTACTATTTCAGCAGCTTGGAGAAATGCCAAACACAAGTCAGGAAGTTATCTCCGTCAGAGGCTTGCCGCCTCACCCCTGCATGGCTCTCAGAGAAAGCTTCCTTTCTGTAAGACACATTCCAATCATCACACTGTGGCTAAAAGGCTAAATATAGGAGAGACATTTGCCAAGATATAGCAAAGCCGATGTTGGTTTGCCTAGGCAATTTGATAAATGATGATTGTGTGCAGGTGGTGCCTAAATAGACCATAGACTACATATTAAGATAACTTATGAGGTCTGCTGGAGAGAATGGGAAAGTGGGTGTGTGTGGATGTTTGGCACAGCCTGGGGCTATGGCTATAAGAACCTGAGTCTAGGATTTGCCATAGAATATTCTGTGAGCAAAAAAGACACCTACTTCTCAGTTATAATCCTCATAAGAATTTTTATAATATTTTTTAAGCTGTGCAATCCACAGCTGTGTAACTGAGAAAAATCACTTAACCTGTCTGAACCTAGGTTTCCTCAAATATATTCAGTCTGCACTCCCAGGACCTCACTTTAAGAGAAACCTGAATCTCTTGAGCACGAGCATGTGGATGGGTGTTATTCCCTTCCTGCACACCTTCTGTGCTTCAAAGAGAGAACTTATGTAACCTTTTTCCTCATGTATCCCTGCTTTGAAACCTGTAAATTTCTATCTTTCTCTGCCCCTTTCTGACTTCTTTTATTATTATTTTCAACCTCATCGATTTCTTCAAATTACTTTCCATCCACTAAATATTTCTAATGAGCCCTGTACATTTTTCTGTACCACTGTGGAAAAAAAGTAAAATAATTTCTGTCTTAACAAAGGATTGCCGCACCCATCTGGCATTAAAAGGAAGAAGAAAAAGCGGGACACATTAAAAACAATAAGCGTTGATTTCTCTGGCTGTACCTACAGACCTGTTACTGTGAGGCCTTTAATCCATCTTCACCGCCGCTTTCTTCCCTTGCTTTGTCTTTTAAAGTTTCAGGGGACTGTCACAAACAGGGTCTTACTCAGGGCCTCCTGCTGCTGCTCTGTGGCCTTGTTGAGCCCGTGGGGCTGGTTCCTGTGGCTCCTCCTGGCCAGTTGTCCACCGCAGGTGCCATGGATCCAAGAATTACCTCTGCTGGGCACCTCCCTCCCACACAATGGCACCCTGCTTCCAGGACATGCTGAGTCCTATCTCAAGGCATTCTTGGTCTTCCCTCAATGTTGCAGAGTAATATTATTTTATCTAGAACATTCCTGTGTTGAAGCTCAGTAAATGTCAGCACAAGTAGGCAAAAGTGTATTGCTTTGGGTGGTAAACTTTCTCCATGCTCTCCCCGGACCCCTTCTTATCCACTTTACCAGCCATGTGAATGCATCCTATAGCTTCTCTGTGCTTTGTTCCAAATGGCCTGCCCCTGTGACCTTCTTCAGAGGCTGACCATGGGCCAGTCCCTCCCTCCCAGAGAGAGCCTGGAATGCCTGGTAGTGTAGTTCTAGGGAAGCCTATAGCCAATGACTGTGCAAGATTCTGAAAGCCTGACTCCCTTTCCTCAAAATGGGGCAAATTCTGACATAATTTATGGTCTAGAGCTCCCCAAAGATCTGGCTAAGGCCAGGGAGTTGGCTAAAATTGTGCCTTTCTCTGTTCTTCATTTCCTTTTCTCTTGTGTTCTTCTCCTGGCCCTTAATAAATACCCTGTTCATGATCTGTGTCTCAGAGTTGGCTTCTGGAGGTCCAGCCTTAGGTATTTGGTTAGGAGTGCAAGGATGATTTTTGGAGGCAGATTCTGAGGATGGGATTCTAGAGTTAAGTCACCAGCTAAGTGGCAATAAATACCCCATCACAGGGGGTATGTGGAGCCCAGAGGGGCCCTGACACACTAGAGCATTGCAGTTGCTAAAACTTTTACCTGGAGCGAATTAAGATGATGTCATGGGTTGAATTATGTAACCTCAAAAGATGTTGAATTTCACCCCCAGTACCTGGGAATGTGATATTACTGGGAAATAAGATATTTGCAGATAATCCAACTAGAATGAGATCATTAGGGTGGGCCCTAATTCAATATCACTGTTGACCTCACAAAAAAAGTGAAATTTGAACATGGAGACATACATGCTTAGAGGAAAGATGGTGTGAAGACACAGGGCATCCACAAGAACAATTTGAGGCCAACAGGGAGGTCATGGAACAGATTCTTCCCTACGGTTCTCAGAACCAACCTTGCCGACACCTTGATTTTGGACTTCTAGTCTCCAGAACTGTGAGATAATAAATTCCTCATGTTCTATGCCACCCAATTTATTGTATTTTGTTATAGAAGCCCTAGGAAACTAATACAGAAGGGATTCTGACAGAACAGGTATGCTAGATTGTGCAATTTTCTTTGGCTTTTGATGGTACAAGGTAAATGGTCATTACAAAGGCTGTGGATGGGTTCCATGATAAATAGACTCCAGTTGGTCAGCATAAGGCAAAGTGAGAAAGTCAAAAAGTCCCTTGGCAGCTCTTAAACAAACCCCCTTTTTCTATAGCCAAGGGAGACCATGCTGAAGACCAGGCCAGGACCAACTATAAGAACAGTGGACCTTTGGTGGCTCAGGCCTGTAATCCCGGCACTTTGGGAGGCCGAGGCAGATGGATCACCTGAGGTCGGGAGTTCAAGACCAGCCTGAGCAACATGGAGAAACCCCATCTCTACTAAAAATACAAAATTAGCCAGGCATGGTGGCATATGCCTGTAATCCTAGTTACTCAGGAGGCTGAGGCAGGAGAATCACTTGAACCCAGGAGGCAGAGGTTGCAGAGAGCTGAGATCACGCCATTGCACTCCAGCCTGGGCAACAAGAGCAAGACTCCATCTCAAAACAAAACAAAACAAAAACAAAACAGTGGACCTTCAGGGACACCCAGTTTACATCCTCAGCAATCCCATGCAACAGCCAGGAACTTGGTAAGGAAGAAATGGCTTCTTAAGACTTGGAATCAGAAAATGTGAATAGATGTCATTGATAAATGTGAAACTGCAGCTGTCCCTGAATCCTCTGGGCCTGCAGAATGGGCCCACATCTTCTTTCTAGAGGGCAGAGCTCTCTTGCTTGAAGATTGGAAGCAAGTGTACAAATGTAAGCAGAGAAGCCTAACAAGAGATTAATTTTATGGCTTATATCTTTATTAGAACTTAAATCCAATATGTTTATTAGACCTTACAGTTCTGTCTGAGAGAAAAGAGGGATATGTTAAAGTCCTCACTCCACAAGATTTGTAACCATAGGCATAAAACCTTTAAAGGATATACTTTATGGCAGTGCATTCCAAATTTACACGTAAAACAGATTTCTGCTATTGCATTTCAAATTCAGACATAAAACAGATTTCCAACTTCTTTCACCTGTTGGGCTGGTCCCATGTCATATACTCAATGTGCAGTACTCACTTCTTTGAGCCTCAGTAACATGTGAGTAGAAATGGGATCATTGTAATAAATCTACTTGCATCAACATATGTTCCTTGTCTCATAACAGCCATTTATCCCCAACCTTAATTAAATATTTCTGAGGGGTAACTAAAGAATACTGGATTGCTGTTGGTTTCAGATGAAATCTGTGCAGAGTCTGTGCCATGAAGGGCTCTGCCTATATTTTGGTTACAAAAGTTATCTTATTTTGGCAGGGTGCAATGGCTCATACTTATAATCCCAGCACTTTGGGAGGCAGAGGTAGGAGAACTGCTTGAGCCCAAGAGTTTGAGACCAGCCTAGGAAACATAGAGAGATCCCATTTCTACAAAAAAAAATTAATTAAAAAAATTTTATAAATTTGTAAAGCTCTTTGTGCATATATTGCCTGATGTCATATTCTCCTCAAGCAGCCCCTGAGATGAGGAGTCATGTGGGAGTAATTTGTTAACAAGGTGATCTCAAAGGAAGACAGGGAAGGAGAAGGGAAAGAAGGATATGGAAAAGAGAGAACCCAAGAAAGTGTGTGATTTTGTCAAAGTCCAGCTTCAGCCTCATCCAACTTGAGGCCAGGGAGTCAGATTGTCAGACACTTGGACCAGTCAGTCATTGCCTAAGAACTGCACAGAGGGTTAAAGCTCCCCTCTCCCAGCTCCATGCAGAGATCCTTAAAGACAGTCCCAGTTGCGGCCGGGTCTGGTGGCTCATGCCTGTTATCCCAGCACTTTGGAAGGCTGAGGCAGGCGGATCAAGAGGTCAGGAGTTCGAGACCAGCCTGGCCAATATAGTGAAACCTCATCTCCACTAAAAATACAAAAATTAGCCAGGTTTGGTGGCAGGTGCCTGTAATCCCAGCTACTCAGGAGGCTGAAGCAGGAGGATTGCTTGAACCCAGGAGGCAGAGGTTGCAGTAAGCTGAGATCATGCCACTGCATTCCAGCCTGGGTTACAGAGGAAGACTCAGTCTCAAAAAAAAAAAAAAGTCTCAGTTGCAGGCCTTCGGAAGCAAAGCACAAAGCAGTTGGAAGAGGCTTACAGAAAGAGCAAAAGAATGTGGGGTATCTGTGTGTGCTGTCAACAGTGCTATTACTGTGAATGAATATCTGTGTCCCCCCAAAATTCATATATTGAAGCCTAACCCCCAAGTTGATGATATTTGGAGTTGGGGCCTTGGGGAGGTGATTAGGTCATGAGTGTGGAGCCCTCATAGGTGTGATTCCTGCCCTTATAAGAAAAGATGATCTCTCTCTCCGCCATCTAAGGATACAAGAAGACAGCATCTGCAAACCAGGAAGGGGGTCTTCACCAGTCACAGTCTGCTGACACCCTGACCCTGGACTATCCTAGGCTCCAGAACTCCAGAAATCAATCTCTGTTGTTTAAATCGCTCAGTCTATGATATCTTGTTATAGCAGCCCAAACTGACTAACACAATTATACATGTCAAAATCCTTTCTAATCTGTGGATCTGGGCTTTGCAACTTTGCATGTCTCACAGCCAGCAGAGGATTCTATTATTAATGGTAATCCATGTCAAATTTAATACTATAAGAATTTTTCATAAAATCAATTTGTTTTTAACCTTTTGGCTATCAAACTAGTTGTAATTTGAAATCCAAGACAATTAAATCTTTGTAAAATGTGGGTCTTTTTGTAAGATGACTTTAACCACAGAGAAAATGTAAAATTTTAGGAAGGGTAAGACATGTAGTTAGCACTGAGATTACTATGTGAGGCCTAATGTTATCTATGTGTAAGGCAATCATCAGTGTTACATTTCATTAGAAAGATGGCTTTTAAAAAACAACTAGCGCCAAGGTGGGCAGATCACCTGAGGTCAGGAGTTCAAGACCGGCTTGCCCAACATGGTGAAACCCCATCTCTATTAAAAATACAAAAAAATTAGCTGGGTGTGGTGGCAGATGCCTGTAATCCCAGCTACTTGGGAGGCTGAGGCAGGAGACTCGCTTGAACCCAGAAGGCAGAGGTTGCAGTGAGCCGAGATTGCTCGACTGTACTCCAGCCTGGGTGACAAGAGTGAAACTCTGTTAAAAAACAAAAAAAAGAAAAAAGAAAACTAGCCAGCTTCACAATGGAGGCAGTTCCATAATTTGTTGGGATTTTGGAATGGCAGTGAGCTACATATCTTTTCTTTCATGTTCTAACATATAGAAAACAAACTAAGTCTTTGTATATTAGCTAACTCAGCAGAACAGTCTGTGGGAGATTATATTGATCTTGAATACACAGTGCACATGTATTGGATATTGATGCATAATTTGGGTCTAATTTCTTCTCGTATCTAAATACTCGTAAACATTTAGAATGGTTTAAATGTACAGGCTCAGAATGACTTTAATAGGACCTTTAAAATTTATATTTATATATTTAAATAACTGCTGATGGCACTGTTGTTTATAATATTAGGTTTCTTGCTGACCTCTCAGAATTTTCCTTAGAGCCTGAGACAGGCCGACTGGTTGGTTCCCTATCTTAAGATTGTCTGAAGGAAAAGGATAAAAGCCCCTCAACTCAAACTCTAGCTTGTCTAACTCTCAGCCAATCAGCAATAAAAGACCAAGGAAGCTATTAATTGCAAATTTCTATTTCAGGGGGCTAGAGGCTTTCCCAGAGTCCCATATGTGGAGTCAGACTTAAACTCCAACCTAAAGTTATCTTTTCCTCATTTCAACACTAAAGTTCATGCCCAGGGGTGGAGATTTAAAATTCTAATGCTACATGCAATGTATGAAGAAACATGTTGAGCCATTGTGCAGGTGCTAGCAAAACTCTCCCTATACATTCCCTGAGGGAATCCTTCCCTATGGAAAGACCCTATACCTAACCGAACCACACAGTATCTTTGGGGAACAGCCCACTCCTTTTTGCTCTCTCATGGCTGGCTCCCTGAGAGGTAATAAACTCTCTTCATTGCTGCCTCTGGTGATCTCTCTTGATTTCTATCCTGAGAAATCACAAGATCTCAGGGCACTGGTAAGAAGCTTGTCACAGATTCTTTGAATTTCCTCAATGGTTCTGAAACAGGAGTGTTCCCTTGACCCCTTTGCAGGACTTGTGACATGAGTGACTTGTTTACTTGTTTACCATGCTGAATCCCTTATGGAAGGAAGCACATGAGTGGATGGGTGTGGGAACCAGAGCAAATGAATGTGGAACTGGCCTGTGGCTCCTCTCCGGCGGGAGCAAGCTTTGTGTGGGTTCTGCAGCAGTGTCAAAGTGTGTTACAATAGTCTTTTAGCTCTGCGGTCTGGGAGGGGCTGTCTGCGACCCCCAGAGCCCCAGAGGGCATGTGTTACAATCAGTGCTCCTTTAACATTTGCTGTCTGTGGATGGCTAAGTGTTAACCAGCTCAGTGGAAGGTCAGGGTGACAGCCTTTTACACTTTGCTGTCTTGGTACCTGAGTTCTGATCCAGCGTCCAGGAAGAATCAGGTCACATGAACAAATTGAAGGTGGTGAATGTGGAGGACTTTATTGAGTGGTAAAAGTGGGCCTCAGTGGGAAAGGGAGCTGGAAAGGGGATGGAGTGGGAAGATAATCTTCCCCTGGAGCCCGGGTGTCTCCAGCTGAACTCCTCTCTGACCATAGTTTCTGACCTCCAGCTGCTTCTTCTCATCTCAATATCCAGACACTTCTCTCTTCTGTGTGTGTGTCCACTGAGTCTGGGGCTTGGGGTTCTTATGGGCACAGGATAGGGGGTGGTGTGGGGTGGGCCAAAAGGCAACAATCAGGTGGGAAAACAGGGATAGTTCTCACTTTGGGCTGAGGGTCCAAGCTTGTGGGTGGAGCCCTTGCCAAAGATCCTGCCCTTTTCTACCAGTATTTGCCTGCCTTCTGTCCATTTCAGTTCAAGACAGTTTGTGCAATTTGGAAACAGCCAGATCTAAACAGTGTAAAATCTGGATAGTCAGGCAGAATAAGGCTGGAAAAAATATATAATTATATAGAATAAAGCTGAAAAAATTCGCTGAGTAATACTCTGTGTGTGCACCTACATGCACATGTAACAAAGTGATAATTTCTATTTCCTTAGATGTTTCAAAATGTATCTTGAACATATGACAAATATTTAATGTTTTCTGGGTGACTACATTGAAGCCCACCACTCACTTGGGACAGAAAAGTCATTTTTTGGTGTGTGATTATACTTGCTATCTTATGGTCACAACTTTTAATACTACATAGAAGCATTAATATTTTTATTTTTCCTTTAGATCCTTCACTGAATTCAACCCAGTCTACTCAACAGTTCACCAAGAGTCTTGCTATCTCCAATTTCAGGATATGCTTTCCATCACCAATACCCAGGTTAATGGACACTCCTCAACCCTTTGTCAGTCCCTGCCCAGTGTTGCCTTTGAGACTGAACTCTGGACAGCCTTTCCATGTTCTCTTTTCTGTAAAAAGGAGACTTTTTATTTCTGGCAGCACTTGCCTAGGAGATAGCAAAGTTAAATGTTGTGTTTCATCACAATCAGTCTCAACTAACTAAAACTAATTAAACACTAGGGATTTTGAGTAACCCACCTACCCTCACTAGACCCTTTCTTTATCTAACTGAAGATGTTCATGATCAAGAAGCAAGAGGCTGTCTCACAGATCTCAGCCTTGTATGAAAGGTAGTTCTCAGTGCTTAATTAGCACCAGCAGCATGGCCCTACACTTCATAGCATTTAAAACCTTCAGTTTTGCCCTTAAGTCCACCTATGCAGTTGTCCCCTAATAAGCTCAGCTCAGCTCCAGGCCACCCCTGGCTCTGTGGCCCATGTTTTTTGTATTATTCTTTGTCATCTCTAATTAGCCTCTTCTGCCTCACCACTACTTAATTATTTATCCTTCTCAGAACTTCTGGCGTGTATTGTACTATATTTTACTTTTAAAATATGTTGCCAGTGTTCTCAGTTTGTCATTTATATGACATGTTCCATGACAAAGTACATCCCTAATACAAAGCCTTAAGCAATCTCATTAAGGACAGATTGCTGATATCTAATTTCTTTTCCCATTCCTAGAGGCAGTGGTCTTCAAAGTGTGGCCTCCAGACAGCAATATCAATATCATCTGGGAATTTGCTAGAAATGTAAATTCCCAAGTCCCAGCTCAAACTCAATGAATCAGAAACTCTGGGTGTGGGGCCCAGCAGTCCTTCAGGTGTTTCTAACCACATATTCAAATTTGACAATCATTTACTCAGGGTCTCACCCTTGGTAGTATCTTAATAAATGCCTGTTAGGTTGACTCTGATAAGTCTTTCTCTCAAGCCATCTTAAAAAGCATGGAATCCAAAAATTCCAGGAAGAAATGAGAAAAAATGTTACAAAGAATGAAGTAGGGATTTTAGGTTTATGAGCAATTAGAGGGAACCGAGTCTTCACAAAGAAACACAATATCCTGATTTCCTGTCTCATGCTTGATTTTCCTACATTGTCTCACCTCAGCTGCGTGATTCCATGTATCTCACTAACCCTTCTGTTTGCCTTCTGTAAGGTTACATGTAGATTCTGAGAAAATTCTTTTTCAACTTTCTATCTCTTATTCCCATTTCACTCTATGTCTTCACAGAAAATTATCACTGCAAAGCTGAGCGGTTTCTGGAGAATCTTGGCTCATTCACTGAATTCTTTGGGAAGGGCTGCTTCCCTTTGCACATCTTCACTAAACTTGGACCTTTTTGATGACTCTCATTTTTTATCACCACCATAGTCCTTAGATGTCCAGTGGAGCAGGGAAACTGATGGTTTTCTGCACAGGTTGCTCGGGGCAAAGATGGAAGTTGGAAGTAAGGAAAAGCATGGAGTTGGAATTGGATGCTGAATGCTGAAGCAAAAGAGTACTCAACGTCTCTATGGTTTTGCTTTGTGCTGGGCCTTCCTAAACCTTGTGAACACCTGATAAATGTTCATTTGATTATGTCAAGCTCTTTGGAGCAGTAGCTTTCAACCCTGATTAGGATGTCAGAATCCTTTGGAAGAATTTTTTAAAAATCTATGGGCATGGAACCCATCCATCAGTATTTTTAAAAATTTCCCAGGTGGTTTCCATGAGTAGCTAAGGTTGAGAACCGTGGTTTTGGATTTCCCACTTGATGATTTTAAACCATAACATCACTTTGCCTATTTTTCTAAATATTCCTCTTTCTACAGTCAGCTTTCAAAAGTCAGACTACAACTGAATCAAAGAATTATACAAGAAAGGGGAAACTGAGCCATCCTTCAGCAACTCCAGGAACAAATCAAGGTACATATAATGATGGGGTAGTAAATGCTAATACCGTCTATCTTCTTCCCTTGTATCTATCCCTGTTTTTGTTCCCCTCTTTCCACTCTGGCTTCCTATTCTCCCTTTGTGGCAAAATATCCACTATTCTTGAAGACAGCGAACCAGCAAACCTGCTAATATTAAAGCTTCAGTGACCCAATAGGTAGCTACACTTTGAGGAACATTTTCATTTCCAAAGAAATTATCTGAAGAGAAAAATGTCTAATTCAATGGGCTGAAATGCAAATTGTTATGTTTCAGGCTAGAAAGATATCTAACCCAAGGAACTTCCTTATCATGCTCTGGGAGACAGTAGGCTGCCTCATGGAAGGCCGTTATAGATGTCCAACTAAACATTGCAAAAAATAGAAGCATTGGCTTGGGACTGAGAAATGATATTCATTTGGTGCAAAAGTAATTGCGATTTTTGCCCTTGAAAATGATGGTTAAAACTGCAATGACTTTTGCATCAACCTATGGATTAGTAATTGATACACAAAGACATGACACATGAGAATACCAAGTGCACTGCTTGGCACATAGTAGACATTCAACAAATGCTTCTTGCTGACAACTTTTGCTTTCCTCCTCAATCACCCACTTTTTAGAATCCTTGAAAAAATCTTACAAATTTTTCAAATATTCAGGAAACTTAAATAACATCAGATTTAGAGAAGAATTATTGACTGTAGCCAATTTTTGGACCTATACATTTTTTAAACTATGTGATGGGAATCTCTTCATTTTTTAGAGCAAAATGGATGCATATCAATTACAAACCTTGCTAAATCATCCTTTCTATCTCTGAGGCAATAAAATTCATTATCCTGGTTAGTTTGAGGATATACTTAACCCATAAACACCAACAGCAAGTATAGATTCAGACATTTGTATCTATAATTTAGACAGTTTAAAATGCAATATTAAGTAATTCAAAAATTGTTCAAAGCTCAGTACCTTTTCACACATTAATACTTTGATTATCAACTTCCTTTTAAAGAGTGAGTAGAAAAGGTTAGTAAGTAGAAAAGAGTAAAAGAGGCCTTTCTTTCACAACTTGCCAAGACGTGCATTACTTATTTAAAATAAAAAAAAAATGCTGTTTGAAAAACAAGAAGGATGGCAAGAATGAAGCTCCTTCATGCAAGATACCTCTGACTACCCTCTAAAGACAGTTACTATGGCATGGTCATAGAATTACTGCAGGAAAAAATTTGTCCACTGAGGCTGCTTCCTCCAGAGGTAAGGTTTAACTTATGGTAACTTGCTATGGATCAACAGCTCAAGATGAAGTGTGTGGCTGGCAATTTAAGTGTAAAATTAGATTTCCAGTATAATCAGTCATCTGATAGCCCATCTAAATGTATTCTGCATTTGCACATTTAATTAATTATGTCTTAATTGAAAACATTTTGCTCATAATGATTGGTTCTAATTTTATTCCAAATTAAATTAGTAGGGGAGAAATTTAGTTTGGGAATTTATTGATTTATATATATATTAAAGAAAAAGTAAAAATAATGGATTTTCTCTTTTCTTCTTAAAAGGAAATATCTTTCTGCTCATTTAGAGGTGCAAAGGAAAACATTTAGAACTTTCCAGATGAATAAATTGCATTTCATCTGAATGAACATCTAACTTTGGAGATGGAGAGAACATTCTTTTGTATTGTTGTAGATATGCCTAGTATAATATTGGCATAATTAATTTTTCAGCTACAATGCAGATTCCTGGGTCAGTGCAAAAGACCTTGTTTATTTAGAAGTGATTATCTGAGAAAGTGGCTCATTAGTCTTAGATTCTTGGAATGCACAGTCTGGTCTAGAGATTAAAATAGCTATTTAAATTCCCTTTATGAAAATTGTGCCTGACAGGGCACTTCCATGTGCAGTGAGGTTTGTATTTGCACATCTAGAGCATCCAGGAAATCAGCAAAGGTGGGTTTTGTGTCTTTAGATATGCTACAGTTGATAAACCCTAAGATTCAGATATTAACTATTGGATAAGCTCTTGCATTTCCCATAACTTTAGCTTTGAAGCCATTCATTACCTTAATACTAAGGAAAGAATGTCAGAAAATCCAAAGAGAGAGAATTCTCAGTTATGATTTTTGGACATATAATTGGAAAGAAGTCAGATTTGGCTTTTACAATTAGTGCCATATAATGTCACACAAAGTATTTCCTGCAGTGTGCTCAAAGAGGTCAATTTGTGATTTATTTGCAAGTCATAGTTCTGAAATTACTGACTTGTGTGTGTAACAATTTAGCTTTAACTTGGGCACTTAATTTAGCATTAAATATAGCTCCTCTTCAATATTGACCCTTGCCCTGAACAAGATGTCATTTCATAAACCCAGTTAAACATGGTGCCTACTGTGGTTTACATACCAAGACAGATTAAATGTATTGTCCAGTTTCACAGATCAGCAATGCTTCTCTTCCTGTATCACTAGCTCATGATAATAACATAAGGGACCAGTCTGTGCCAGTGGATGGGCCAGAATTAAAAGAAGATAAATATTGATGTCCTGCCTGAAAGAAAACTGGGCACCCAAGGTGTCAGAGAGTTGTCTGATATACTGTGACATGAATGTCCCATATATATAAATTGCAGCCTTTTTAAAATAAGGTAGAATTGTTTGTGGAAGATTAAAAACTCTCTTTCTAAATTGTTGAATTAAAATATTTAGTTAAATAAATCACTGCTATTTTCATCAATGTTGGAGTTGTTTCTTCAAGTTTGTGTGTTTTCTCAATTAGAAAAAAAGTCTAATTTGTTTAAATAGTGAGAAGTCAACATTGAACTGTTGTCTACTCAATAGCCACAATTCCTTATTTCTTGTTCACAATGAATAAGAAATTTGTATTGTTGCAACAAGTTCACAGACAATGGATTCCTCTCTCAATCTGAGAGGATGAGCCATGGTTGATCTAGGCCATGAATATTGTGGTAGATTGTATTGTGTGTTCCTAATTCTTTGTTCTCTGGCCAGGTGCAGTGTCTCACGCCTGTAATCCTAGCACTTCAGGAAACTGAGGCAGGCAGATTGCCAGAGCTCAGGAGTTCGATACCGGCCTGGGCAACATGGCAAAACCCCTCTCTACTAAAAATACAAAAAATTAGCTGGGTATGCTGGTGTGCACCTGTAATCCCAGCTACTTGGGAGCCTGAGGTGTGAGAATCACTTGAACCCAGAAGGCGAAGAATGCAGTGAGCCAAGATTGTGCCACTGCACTCCAGCCTGGATGACAGAGCGAGACTCTGTCTGAGAAAAAAATAATTAAAACAGATGATTCTTGTTCCCTCCCCATCCTTACCTTTTTTTTAATGAGGAAAGAATATTTCCCAGTATCACTGACTTTGGGCTTGGCTATGTGACTGCTCTACCCAATAGAATTTGGTAGGTTAATAGTAATAGAAGTAACTAAGCAGAACTTTAAAGAAGTTTCTCCTCTTCAACTCTTGCTTATAAAGCATTATAAAAATCAATATATATAAAGCATTATAAAAATCAAATGCTCTAAGTAGTCTGTGTCCTTCAACATGGGTCCAGGAATGAGAGACACCTGGAGCACACCTGACTCTCATCTGTAGTCTAAGGTAGAACTGCGGCAACCAATTCGCAAAATTCATGAGCAAGGAGTAAATGCTTGCTGTTATCGGTCAGTAACTTCTTGTCATGTTTCTTAAGCATTATTGGAGCAAAAGCAAACTAATACAAACGTTAGTGTAATTCCTTTGCTTGTGATTGATTTAGAGATGAATATTTGTCCTGTTTCCAGGTAATACAATGTATTTAGGAAGAATGCCAAAGGAGGGAGCTTATTAGTAGGATTTTGACCTCTAATGAAAATGATGGCCAAATATATGAAATTTTTTCTTTCTTTGGTTTTTATTGTTTAAAGACATAATTATTTAAGTTGTGTTAGTTGTGTGTGATCTTATAACTGTGAGGAATTACATAGAATGAAAATGGAATGTGCTGTGGTGGCAGAACAGAAAGAAGTTGGGTGATTGACATTGTTGAGCTCTGCAGGAAATCTGTTAGTCTCCATTTCCGGAGGTCTTGCTATGTAGAAAAATTGGATGACTTTATTGCTTAAGTCACTATAAGAATGTTTTCTGTTACCTGCAACCCAATGCACCCAACTAATAAAGTATGTTTCTAGAAATACACTTGCCTGCACTCATTTTTAAGACACACAGACCACATACACATGGAGAGATATTTTTAAAGGTCTTGTACTACATAAATTGTACTATTTTTTAATTTAAAAATATGGGCCAGGTGCAGTGGCTCACACCTGTAATCCTAGCACTTTGGGAGGCCAAGGCAGGTGGATCACAAGGTCAGGAGATCAAGACCACCATGGCCAACATGGTGAAACCCCATCTCTACTAAAATACAAAAAACTAGCTGGGCATGGTGGTATGTGCCTGTAGTCCCAGGTACTTGGGAGGCTGAGGCAGGGGAATCACTTGAACCCTGGAGGCAGAGGTTGAAGTGAGCTGAGATCGTGCCGCTGCACTCCAGCCTGTTGACAGAGCGAGACTCTGTCTCAAAAAATAAAAATTAAAAAAAAGATAATGTGATTTTTTTATATTATAGCACATGTACAAGACTGAAATCTGTCTCATTTTTTAAAGTAACTGCCTAGTACTTTATGCATGAACATCCTTTGCCTTCAAATTGAATTTGAGGATCAACCTCAGCTATTTTCATAAAATAAATTTAAAAATATATAAAAAGATGAAAAATATGAGGGAAACATTAAGTGAAATGGAATTTGAATTCATAAGTTGTGATATCCATCTAAATGAGTCACCAAGAGTTAAAAGATGAAAAATGAAAACAAATACTCACGGAAATAATAGAAGAAAACTTTAAAAGGTAGAGAATAAACACATGCTGTAATGTCACTACCCACTCAGTGTTAAGTTAAATGGATTTGTTGAGAAGACTCCAAAAGCAGTTATAAATGTCGAGTATGTGTGTGCACATGTGTGTGTATATGTGTGCAACCCTATATAAAATATTTTAAAATCACTTTTATTGAAATATTGCATATGTACATCTAAGAACGAATTTTAAGCTTGATGAATTTTTACATTGTTGACACAGCCATTTAACTATCAGCTAAGAGAGGAAATAAAACATAACCAGCAACTCTCACCTCATTTTATATTCACTATCAATCCTTACTCTTTTTTTAATTTGAGACAGAGTCTCATTCTGTTGCTCAGGCTGGAGTGCAGTTGCATGATCTCAGCTCACTGCAACCTCTACACCCTGGGTTCAAGCAATTCTCATGCCTCAGCCTCCCAAGTAGCTAGGTTACAGGCACTCACCACCATGCCCAGCTAATTTTTGTAATTTTAGTAGAGACAGGGTTTTGCCATGTTGGCCAGGCTGGCCTTGAACTCCTGGCCTCAAGCAGTTTGCCCACCTCAGCCTCCTAAAGTGCTGGGATTACAGGAATGAGTTACTGTGCCTGGCCCATTCCTCTTTTTTAATACCCCAAAGGCAACTGATATCCTAATTTCTCACACAAGGGATTGGTTTTGCCTGGGTGTTGAACTTTATATAAAGGGACTATCAGTACATTATTTGCCATATTGATCTACGTTATTTTATGTAACAATAATGCATATTTATTCATTGTTCCATAGTATTCCATGTAGAAATAGATCACAATTTATTTGCTATTTCTTCTCTTAATAGATATATTTGGGTTGGCTTCTGTTATTGTTATGAATACGATGCTTTAAATATTCTTTTTCTAGTAAAAATATGTGCAGATTTATAGCTGAACAGAAAAAGCTTTGTCTTTTAACCTGGATATCTGGATTTTTTACTCTTGGTGAAAATAACTGCAATGACATTTATCATGTATGATTTAAAGTCAGGAAATGCCTCCTGGTAACCTACAGGGTCAGTTTTTCACTGATGGGTTACAACTGGCCTAATTGGTTTGACAAACCTAGCTTGATTACATGGACAAGGAGACATAAAAGGCTTGTGGAGAATTTCTCCTCGAAGCCCTCCTGAAAGCATGATTCCTAGCACAGAATCTTGGTGGTTGACACTGGAGACAGAATGCACACTCTGTGTCTGTGAATACTTGGAGCCCTGGGTAGCTTTCAACATGGGATGTCTTTCAGACTCCCAGTCCATGCCCGCACTCTCTTTCACTTGCTGCACCATATCCTTTGCCTTTAAATAAAAGCCCCATGTAAATATGTTCTATGGAATGTGGTGGTTCCTTTCAAACATCCAAACAGGAAGCTTTTCAGTATGTATACATTTCTATTGATAATACACCTAAGAATGAATTTGCTATTTGCCAGTTCATAAAAGTATATATATTTATATATTGAGCTTTAGACAAAATTTTCAAGTAAAATACAAAAAGAAATTTCTTGAACCATTAGAGAATAAGTTACTGACCTGATTTCCAGTTACCACCAAATATTTTGGGGTTTATTCCTTACAAACAGGTTTCTCCTACATGTTCACAACACAACTGTCAGCATTGGTTGTATTCCCACTAATACCCTGTTACTGTCTAATCCTCAGACCCCATTCAAGACCCTGGCACTCTACATTAAGCTACCCCTGTGTGTAGTTACCTTCTTCACTCTACTCTGACTCCAACACCTCATGCTTGGCCACCGTCATTCTTGGATGCCATCCCTGGGCTCTGATCTACTCCCTAGATTATCATCCATTTCACATAGACACTCTTCTCATCCTTCCTGGGTTAAACCCACATGGGTGCTCACCCCACTCTGCTCAGTGAGGCTCTGACACTCCAACCTTGCTGTATCACTGCGGTGATGCCCTTTTCATCTTGCTTGGGTTCTGCCACCACTTCTGTGTGGACTCCTTCTCCTGTTCTTTGGCTTTGATACCTGGCACCTTGGAGCCCTCCTATACAGATGCCCCTTTCAGTCTATTTACACCAGAAAATCCCACAGTGACTTGACTCTTCTACATGCAAATCCTTTTTATCCCATTCTGTGCCACTGCCTTACATGGGTGTTCTCTTCCCACTAGCCTGAGGGGTTTAGACACCAGGTGATGGATAATACTTCTGTCTGGATGCTCCCTCACCTTGTTTTGATTCTGACACCCCACGTGGGTCACCTACATGCATTGAAGCCCTTACTCAGTTGTGGCTTCAATCCAAATGAGGCAGCCTTCCTCTGTAGAAGGAGGAATTAACCATTTTTCCCTATTCTAAAAATTAATCATTTCCCCAAAGAGCACGGGTTTCTTTCATGGAGAAATAGTGTTTGGATACAAAGGTCTAGAGGCTAGGTGTTCTACTAGGGTGTCATTTCTTCTAGATTCTTTCACTTCACAAAGCTAAGAAATACATATGCATATACCAAGCAAAACACACCATAAGGGTAAAATGATGACTTTTTTGAGGTTGGAGGTCACTATCTCTCCATCCTGTCTTCCTTAGAGTATTTCCTTGAAATCTTAATAGGTCCAAATAACAGGTTTATGCTTTTGATTTTGCAGTGGAAGAATGGGGACTTTCTGACCCTTGGAAGTGTAAACAAATGCCTCCAAAACTTACTTGGGAGTTTTTCACAAGAGGACTATCTTAGGATGTAGCCCTTTGTCTCTTGAGGAGATGAGAAGTTATTCTTACTTCTGCTTTGCTAAATAAATTATGTGAAAGTCTGCCTAGACATTTTAGTCACTTTTGTAGTACCTACGTGCATAGAAATCTGACCATGTTCATGTAGTAATAAACTGTGTTCTCTTTTCTATGTTGGTTCAGAGAGGTCTTTGTTAGTGTTATTTTATTTCCAACAAACACACGGCCTATATTTCTGTATTGTTACTTTCTAGAGATGGATGACTTTGGATGGTCAAATATTGATAGAAAGGCACTAGTGAAACATAATTCAGAAAAAACACATTTACAGATTTGGTGACAAGAAATGAAGAAATTTTTCATGTTAAGCTCCAATTATCTCTGAAAGGTAGAAGGAAAGTCATTAGTTGAGAGTATACATGGCATTGGAGTTGGAAGTTTTGAGAAAAGTGGAGGCTTACAAAATTAAAATAGTTGTTTCCAATAAGATGAAATAGAACTGATTAAAGAACAAAGGAGACATGATTGCTGAGGAGTCTCTCAGATTAGTTCACGTTGATCACTGTAGTCTATTGTTTCACAATAACTCATTCCAAATCAAGCTGCATATTGGATTCACCTGGGATCTTTTAAGATATACCGATTTCTGGGTGCCACCTGCAGAGATTCTGTTGTAATCACTCAGGAGTCTGACATCAGCATCCAGATTTCAAAAGTTCCCCGAGTGATTCTAAAGCATCCTGAAGATCAAGAACCATTGACCCAGATAGAATGTTCATTGCCTTTATTGTTTTCCACAAAAACCTACCCATGTAAAGCATTTGTGAGGATATAAAAGTTTACTGAAAATTAGAAATTGAGAGTTGAATTGGCAAACAAATTTAGTCAAATTAAATTCTGAGTTTTAATGCTTTCCTATGGCCAACCCAAGAGTGTGGAACTTTCCTTGGGCCTTCACCCCATTGTCTCCAAACTCAAATCATTTCACTAACTCTTCTCCACCTTCCCAGTCTCTGCTTTCTGAATGCCACTTCCTAGTCTACCTGACTCTGGGAACTATCGGTTGGAGCAAAAGTAATTGCACTTTTTGCCATTAAAATTGATGTCGAAAACCACAAATTACTTTTGCACCAGCCTAATAAAACTTGTTACTCCATAACTCAGAGTGATTCAGCTCTCACTAACAACCTGGTGTTCTCCATTTTCCTTTAGCCTGGACTATAGCTATTCATCACTTTTGAGAATTTTTAAGAGGCAACGTTCTTGCATGTGATCTGGTTTATAGAACCAGGATAAAAGGTCAGTGTTGACTCCAAAGTTTCCCAGGCCCGGGATCTCCTCAGAAATATGTGGCAGAGACAGACCTGCAGGATAAAGACAAGATATGCAGTCTTTTCTCATTCACTCCATTGATAGCTAGTAACAGCCGACCATATCTCAGTTGAATGAAGTTAAAAAGATAGATAGACAAATAGATACAGTAGAGTGTAGTCCATATAATGGTTTAGTATACATAGGAAGTACACAAATACAGTAACATCTGGACAAACTAGAGGATGGGAGAAGAAGGGAATTGAGAGAGTATTGCAAGAAGTGAAGAACCCAGGGTTTGAGCTAGCCTCCTGAATCCACATGTATAGAGTTGTAGAATTGGAGTACTACAAAGGATGTCAGAAATCATCTAATCTAGTCACCCTTTGTTACAGACTAGAAAGTAGAAATCTCATAGCCTAGGAGTTGAACTGAATTGAAGAAAGTCCCATAACAAGTCAGGGGCAGCGCCAGGATTAAATTGGAATCGGGGTTCATTGATGACTGGCCCAGCGATACTCCCTCAACAGGTAACGAATTTCTAAGGTTCTATGAGCACAGCTACAGGAGGGATTAGGCCAGCAATAGGGTCGCTGGTGGCAGTAGAGGCCTAAACCTGCATGGCTTACACCTCTGTCTGCAAAGTGACTGACTCATTCCAGGCCTATCTGTGCACTCTGCAGTACCTCTGCTCAGAAGGTGCCAATGGGGGAAATGCTAGATAGATAATTTGGCTTGAGCATAGAGTGTGAGGGAAGGACACATACTGAAAATAGGAAGGAGAATGAGAAACCTGAATCAAGAACCAGCCTAACAAATATTAGGCCTTTGAATTATAAAGCAGGCATATTGTATGGCTTTAGAAAATTACAAGATCATAAAGATGAGCAAATAAGACTAGAAAATTATGACTTTGGGACCTTGTGTCTGAAGTAAATGGAGAGGCACTTTGGGGAGTGGCAGGCAATGAAAACACATCTACCACCTGAGATGACTCACAGAAATTCAAAACAGCCTCTTTTTTTTAAGTCCAATTCAAATATAGTCAAGTGAGGGAGGGTACATCATTTATTCTCAACTCACTGTGTTTAGTTTCTTAAAAGATGGCCGAATTGTAAAAAAAGCTTTTGAATGGGGCAGTTCTAGTGTCAGTTGTTCTCTCTTTTCCTTTTTTACTTACCCACTACTATAAACTACCATAGATACATTCTTTACATTCAGTTAGTTAGTTTTACGTTTCCCAATTTCCACATTTGTAATTATAGCCTAGGAAGCTTCTTTGCTTGGAGAAAGATGTTCTTATATTAAAACATAAAACTCTTCCCAAGCATCCACTAGTTCATCCAGTAAGCAATTTCATCATTACATACCAGAGGTCAGTATTGCACTATTAATTTACATGAGTGATTAATTTTTACTTTCCCAGTAATAAAGATGAGAAACAAAATACCAAAGATTATTACTATATTAGAGCTTTGGTGTTAGTTCCTTAAGCAAGTATCATCTGTGCAGGCATGCACAGATCATGAATGGCTTAACAAAAATACGAAAGAAAAAGAAAAAAGCCATCACAATGAAGGTGGCCTTTGTTCTTTAGGAAGACATTCATAACTCATTCCAGGCATATTAATTATGCAACTTTTACACAAAAGTTACTTTATATTGAGAAATGTTCACAACTAGCAGTATTAACAGACATGCTGGCAGTGAATTAAAAAGATAACAATAGTTTTTAAAGCCTCATTCAAATCTGCATATCTACAATAGTGTATCAATTTGGGATGGCCAAAGTTATAGATAATTTGGATAAATAAAATAGGGGCTCAGCAGTAAAATAATGACTGTATCTCCAGAAGCTTTAAGATTAATGAAAAGAAGAAAAGACTAAAGGCAGATCAAGCTGTCATGCTGACTACAGACATAGTAAAGGCTTTCCACAGAAAGAGAAAATAGATTAGTCTTGTTTTACTCTGGTCAACAAAGGGTAGAATTATAGAAATGGAGATTGCAGCTGCATATAGATAGAATTGTTAAGACTCATAGCTATTCCAACATCTTTGCCTAGGGGGCCATAGGGAGTGCCAACATCGAGTATCAGAACAAACTAGATGAATGCCAAAATCTCTTATACTCTAAGGTTATATGAGAAAGTGATTTTGATGCCAAAGAGTAAATATTCCACAAATTCCAAACCTCCTTCCAGGCATATATATTCGAGTAGCACCTTCTTTAAGAAGTCTCCCTTAATCTGAGAACACAGTTTGCTTGTGTTTCTAATACTTTGACCATACATTGTCTTTTGTCATCTTTTGACCATATTGTACATTTATGTATTATTTAGCTTTGTGTTGTTATGTCTTATCTAAAACCAAGATTCTTCTTTTAGGAATACATGTTATTTTATCCTCTATGACACCTAGCACAATACAATGAAGTTAGTAGATACTCAGATAATATCTGTAGTCTGAACCTATTTCCTTATCTAAACAGTAAGGAATAAGAACACCCACTTTACCTGCCTCACTGAGCTGTTTTGAAGATCAGATGAAATAATGTGCCTGAAAGCACTTTGAAAAGTATAGAATGTTATACAAATGTAAGGCATTCTAATTTCAGAGGGAGGTTTTTCTCAGTTACAACCTCCATGTCAGCTCGAATAAAGGAACATTTTTTAAAACTTAATCTGAAAAGAAACTTGTCCCTTCTAGGCACAAATTATAAAACTCCCCAAAAAATGTTTGTATATATTTTTGTTTGTTTGTTCCTAAATAGTATAATGAGCTATGGTCTTTCAGGGAAAATGTTGCTCTGATACTAGTTCACAATGTAGAAAATTGCCCTTATGTACTTTCAGGAAAGAATTGCAAACAAATGAGCTATTTTCTTTTCTCAAGTAAAGCGACTTCCCAAGCATGGGTGGCAGCTGTTCAAGTCCATCTGGTCAAGAATTCACTAAGATCATAATGTGAAAGTTGCTCAAGTGCAGATTTGCACGACAGCCTGCAAATGTTCCTTTGGAGACGAAATGGTTTCTCAGGTCAATGATCTGCATATTTAAAAGTCTCTAGGACACCCTAAGATGGCGGCGAGGGAGACGGTGAAGGTTGGCTCCCGCCTGTCTGGGCTCTGATCCTCTGTCTCCCCCTCCCCCTGCGGCCGGCTCATGGCCTGGCGGAGGCCCGAACCAAAGACCTCCGCACCGCCGTGTACAACGCCGCCCGTGACGGCAAGGGGGCAGCTGCTCCAGAAGCTGCTCAGCAGCCGGAGCCGGGAGGAACTGGACGAGCTGACTGGCTAGGTGGCCGGCGGGGGGACGCCGCTGCTCATCGCCGCCTGCTACGGCCACCTGGACGTGGTGGAGTACCTGGTGGACCCGTGCGGCGCGAGCGTGGAGGCCGGTGGCTCGGTGCACTTCGATGGCGAGACCATGGAGGGTGCGCCGCCGCTGTGGGCGCGGACCACCTGGACGTGGTACGGAGCCTGCTGCGCCGCGGGGCCTCGGTGAACTGCACCACGCGCACCAACTCCACGCCCCTCCGCGCCGCCTGCTTCGAGGGCCTCCTGGAGGTGGTGCGCTACCTGGTCGGCGAGCACCAGGCCAACCTGGAGGTGGCCAACCGGCACGGCCACATGTGCCTCATGATCTCGTGCTACAAGGGCCACCGTGAGATCGCCCGCTACCTGCTGGAGCAGGGCGCCCAGGTGAACTGGCGCAGCGCCAAGGGCAACACGGCCCTGCACAACTGTGCCGAGACCAGCAGCCTGGAGATCCTGCAGCTGCTGCTGGGGTGCAAGGCCAGCATGGAACGTGATAGCTACGGCATGACCCCGTTGCTCCCGGCCAGCGTGACGGGCCACACCAACATCGTGGAGTACCTCATCCAGGAGCAGCCCGGCCAGGAGCAGCTCATAGGGGTAGAGGCTCAGCTTAGGCTGCCCCAAGAAGGCTCCTCCACCAGCCAGGGGTGTGCGCAGCCTCAGGGGGCTCCGTGCTGCATCTTCTCCCCTGAGGTACTGAACGGGGAATCTTACCAAAGCTGCTGTCCCACCAGCCGGGAAGCTGCCATGGAAGCCTTGGAATTGCTGGGATCTACCTATGTGGATAAGAAACGAGATCTGCTTGGGGCCCTTAAACACTGGAGGCGGGCCATGGAGCTGCGTCACCAGGGGGGTGAGTACCTGCCCAAACTGGAGCCCCCACAGCTGGTCCTGGCCTATGACTATTCCAGGGAGGTCAACACCACCGAGGAGCTGGAGGCGCTGATCACCGACGCCGATGAGATGCGTATGCAGGCCTTGTTGATCCGGGAGCGCATCCTCAGTCCCTCGCACCCCGACACTTCCTATTGTATCCGTTACAGGGGCGCAGTGTACGCCGACTCGGGGAATATCGAGTGCTACATCCGCTTGTGGAAGTACGCCCTGGACATGCAACAGAGCAACCTGGAGCCTCTGACCCCCATGAGCGCCAGCAGCTTCCTCTCCTTCGCCGAACTCTTCTCCTACGTGCTGCAGGACCCGGCTGCCAAAGGCAGCCTGGGCACCCAGATCGGCTTTGCAGACCTCATGGGGGTCCTCACCAAAGGGGTCCGGGAAGTGGAATGGGCCCTGCAGCTGCTCAGGGAGCCTAGAGACTCGGCCCAGTTCAACAAGGCGCTGGCCATCATCCTCCACCTGCTCTACCTGCTGGAGAAAGTGGAGTGCACCCCCAGCCAGGAGCAACTGAAGCACCAGACCATCTATCGCCTGCTCAAGTGCGCACCCAGGGGCAAGAACGGCTTCACGCCTCTGCACATGGCTGTGGACAAGGACACCACAAACGTGGGCCGCTACCCCGTGGGCAGATTCCCCTCGTTGCACGTGGTCAAAGTGCTGTTCGACTGCGGGGCCGACCGGGACAGCAGGGATTTTGACAACAACACCCCGCTACACATAGCAGCCCAGAACAACTGCCCGGCCATCGTGAATGCCCTGACTGAAGCAGGGGCCCACATGGACGCCACCAACGCCTTCAAGAAGACGGCCTACGAGCTGCTGGAAGAGAAGCTGCTGGCCAGGGGTACCATGCAGCCCTTCAACTACGTGACGCTGCAGTGCCTTGCAGCCCAGGCCCTGGATAAGAACAAGATCCCTTACAAGGGCTTCATCCCGGAAGATCTGGAGGCATTCATCGAACTGCACTGACCTGCCCAGAACATCTGCACCCTCACCTCTCCCCTCTCCTGCTGAGACGGGGGAAATCAGGCTGGGGTATAGCAGATGCTCGTTCTTGCCTCCTTCAGGCACCAATCAGGAGAAGGGTTCTGCCTCCCATCCCCTTTACCTGAAGACAGGGTCTGAGGTGTTAGCGAGCCTTTGGTGCTAGAAGCCTTCAGGGTCACATGCCAAGAGGACAGTCTTTCTCCGGGAAGCCCACTGACTCAGAAATTCTGAGTTAGGAAAAGACACAAGACCTTCCCCACATCCTGTCTGCCTGGGTTACGGAGGCCTTTGCCTTGTTACCTAGAGGTGGAGGGACTGAAGCCATTGCGTTCCTTCCTTGCTAGAAACACAGGAAGAAGTTGAGGACGGTCTGCCTTCCCTTGTCCTTTTACATGGCCAGGTAACTCCAGCTGCTGAATACAGTGTTAGGACTGGGGGCTCCCGAGATGAGAGTTTGAAAGTCAGGGAATGAAACCACCTCTCATTTCTTCCAGCATGATCACGACCTGCTCCTGTGCCACCATAGTCCCTGGCAGACAGGCAGGGCTCTGCTCAGGGCAGCCTGCCACTTGCATAGCTTTTGGTTAGTTTGGTGTTCTGTTTATTTAATAAGTGGGCAGGTTGCAAGCATTGCACAGGAATTCTGAGATTTTACTGCCTTTTTTTTTTTTTTAAAGAAAGTTGTTTGTTGGACTCCGTAAGTGAATTTCAAGCAGTGAGGATTCTGTAGTGCCTGAGATGGCTGAGGCCACAGGGAGTGAGCTGTATGTGTGAGGAAGTTGGTGAGCGAGATAAAAGTCCATGGTTTCGACCCCTAAAACATGTGTGACTGTACATTTTTATACATCTCCACTCTACGGCCTTTTACAGGCTTTCCAATTTTACAGGCCTTTCCAATTTTCCATTCTCATTAGAAAGAGAACTGTGCTTCCAAACAGAAATCAGGAGTGACCACAAAGCCTGACAACACTTTGCCACCCAGCAAGAACTGGCACAATTGGTTTGGGTCTGCATTGCCATAGTGTCCGAGTTAAAACTACAGGCCACTCCACCTTGCAAACCTCACGTGGCCTCTGATTTCATTGTGGGTGCATCCACAGGTGGCGCTAGCTCTTTTTTCAGCTGCTCCGAGGATTGGGACCTAAGTCATCATGAAAAAGGCCCAGGTACAGTCTTAATGTGATAAATCCACTAGCTAAGACGTTGAGTGCCAAGACTAGCCTTCCAGCCAAGGTTTGGACAAAGTCTCAAGTTCCCATGACTCAGGGTAAGGTGCTGGGGCTGCCAGAGGACCTGCCCCAGCAAGATTTTTCTCAAGAGTGAGACTCCATCAGCCCGGGCAGACGTGAGCAGGTTCTTGGCTGGTGTAGACAGCAGCAAACAGCAGAAGGGAAGCCATTCTCACTACATCCTCCCTGCAGTAGCCACAGCCAGGCCCTTAGGAGGAGCAGCAACCGGGGGTGTCCAGAAACATCCCGTCCCTGGATGGAAACTAGGTCTCGTTTGGATTTTTTTTTCTTTTTTTTGCCATGTTATGAAATTATTTATTAATTTACAAGACAGGTTTTATCTCAGCCAAGGAGGGAAATGGCGTCCCTGTCCCTCCCAAAGCACAGAGCAGAGAAATGAGGCTGTTTACATCGCGAGTCTCCGTGCTGGTGTTTAAGTCATTAAAAAGATATTCAAAAAAAAAGTCTCTAAATACAGGTTTATGGAATAATTCATAACAGCTTTAAGGAACTATCATGGTATACTGGGAAAGTCACTCATATTGCAGGATAGATTTCTTCTGTTGGCTGGTGAGCATTTGTTTATAGTCGGCCTTGAATCTACCACAATTTTAGAAGTAGTTCTTTTATTTCTTTAAAAGCAACATTTTGGGACAAAATATTGTGAACAAATAAGGAATACGACTATATTTGTGAAACCCCTTGTTAATTTCCAAGTGATATTTTAAATCTTGAATAAGACATGTATGCTCATAAATAAAGAGGAAAAAGAAATAATTAAATCAATGTTCATAAGAGCTTCTCAGAAAATAAGAAAGAGATAAGTGATAGAACTATAATCTACAATCTACCCTAACAGTATATTTGCATCACTTCTTAAACTTTGTTTAGTATTTTAACACGCTGTTTCTTATTATATGGGAAGAATGCTGTGAGGTAGCATGTTAATGTTTTGCAGATTAATAAACTGATGTTAAAAGAGATTAAGTGACTGATTTTGTACTTTCATTATCTCAAAAGTGCAACTAAAACTGCACTTAGGATTGCCACTCCTGTCGGGGGCCATGGCTTTGGTCCTATTTTCTGCAAGTCTCTGGATGACGTCTGTCCACCCACTGTCTCTGAGTGCTCTCCTCACCTCGGCCTTCCTCCCTTATTTTAGTCCAACACCTGTCACCACTCTTCAGAATCCTCATGAAACTTCAGGAAGATCGACTGGGTAGGGCTTGTTTCAGAATTATCATCCAGCATTCTAGGGCTGATTTAGAATTCAGAGAAAGAAGCAAAAGCACTTATCAAAGTGTCTGTTCTAGAGGTAAGCTCAGAGGCACCATGGCAATTCCCACATTTCCCCAGGATGTCTTCAGAAATACCTGATACTGTCATCTCAGGCCCAGATATCATCCACCAGCTGAAGGCCGTGGGCAACATTCACATCTCAGAGTAAAGAGTGTTTTAGAAGTCCATGGGCAATCACCAGTCATGCAAGGAGTTCCAGGGGCCAGCCAGTTGTTCCTTTCATGAGTTAGGAGGCAGTAAGGACATCACGGTGATCATTTCCACTGAAAACACAAATTTAAGTCCACTCTGCTACTCAGCAGTTAATGCTGACTTCTGAAAATTATGAAGCATTTATCACTATGGTCTCCTTCTAGGTTTATCAGTGCAGTCAGCTCAGAAAACTTTCATTCCTTTGGTATATCCAGCTCCAGCTAATCAGGTAGGGAACAATGAAAACAGGCTGACATTTGATTCAGAGGTTCTGGAAAGAAAGTGGACCTGGCAACAAAGTGACTGCACTTACAACCCCCCAACCTAATGTCATCAGGATCCAGGGTAGACCACCTGGGGCTACTGGGGAGAGAAGACAGTTTCAGAGGCTGTCTATTATAAGCAGCTCTGATTAACATCTTAGGACCACAAGACAAATTATCATTGGTATTTGAAGGCAAAAGTTCATGGATGATCTGGGCCTGGGTGAGTACCTGGGTCTAACTCACAAGTCTCAGAAAGGCCCTCTGGGTCCATTCCCGATATATTAACAAAATGCCTGAAACACAGTGGGGTTTGAGCAAATGATAGAATGAATGTTTATGGAAGGACGGTTGTCTGACCTCTTCTACTATACACTTTTGAGAAAGGTTCTCAGAATGTATGGTTAAAGTATTGTATAGGTTGAGCATTCCTAATCCAAAAATCTGAAATTCACATTTTTTGAATGCTGACACAATGTTCAAAGGTCATACTCAAAAGGAAATGCTCATTAAAGCTTTGTAGATTTCTGATTTTTGAATTTGGGGTGTCAACCAGTAAGTTTAATGCAAATGTTGAAAAATTTTTTAAAAATCCAAAACGCATCTTGTCCCGAGAATTTTGGATAAGGAATACTCAAACTGCATTTCAATTGTTTGTTTGTTTGCTCTGTCTTCAAAAATGAGCCAGGTGCAGTGGCTCATGCCTGTACTCCCAGCACTTTGGGAGGCTGAGGTGGGCGGATCACTCGAGGAGTTGGAGACCCGCCTGGCCAATATGGCAAAACCCTGTCTCTACTAAAAGTTAAAAAAAACACTTAGTCTGGCATGGTGGCAGGCTAATTTTGTAATCCCAGCTACTCAGGAGGCTGAGGCAGGAGAATCGCTTGAGCCCAGGAGACAGAGGTTGCCGTGAGCCAAGATTATGTCACTACACTCCAGCCTGGGTGAGAGAGTGAAACTCTGTCTCAAAAAAAAAAAAAAAGAATGAGTTTCTTCAAGAGAGAAATTGTACCTTGTTCATGTCCATCACTCCCATGCATAATATGGTTCCATAAGAACTCAGTCCTTATGAAACTCCACTCAGTAAGGACTCAGTTTTTTCAGAATGAGCAGACCAAGTAAGAGCAATTACTTATTGTCATGTAGCTCAGATGAGAAAGGGCTGGGATTTGAGAAAATGCTCTATTACTGAATAGGATCTGGATGGCTGGATTCCATCACAGATGTAAAGCAAGACTACAGTAGTGTGTCCAACAAGATCGAGTGATAGCAGGTTGTAGTGCAGGTAAGTAGATATCCACGAAGGGTTGCAAATGAAGTTTTGACCTGTCCAAACAGATGGATGCAGTACAAGACAATTTATCCTTACAAGAAAGATAGCAAATTGGAATTAGGAATATTTGTCATTTCAGAGGGTCCAAGACAATGGTCCAGGATCCAGGACTGGGGAATCCCTTCCTGAGGACGATGACAGGTAAAAAAAAGGATCAAGCTGAAGCTCAAAAATCAGACTTGGGTGCCGGGAGAGGAGACTAAGGAACAGACTGAGATCCACTTACCAGAGCCAGGGTATTGTCTCTGCATAAGCTCAGAGACAAAGAAAAATGATGAAACCACAGCTGGCAGACACGTAGTCATGTAAATCTCCTTAGCATCATTGCAGGATTCGTGCTGAAAGTCGAGGCAATGGTGAAGCTGCAGGAGGGCTGTAGGTGGTCATAGCTCAGGAAGGAAGGGTCTTTCAGAGACTAGAAACTAGGTCTGAGCTAAAACATTTGCAATCTTGGATTTCTTTGGGGATGTTCATTCTACTAACAAACCAACACCAATTTAATTTCCTGATGTTTATTTTGGGAGGTTTACAAGAATTAATTTCCTTGGAACTGATTTTTTTAAACATCCATTATAGAAAATTCTTTTTCTCACTTGTGAACACCTCTGAAAAAGAAGTATTATTTATAAAAGTTGGTACCTGTTGAACTATTAGAGTTGTGGGGAAAAGCCTTTACAGGGTTCACAAGAAAAAGCCTTCTCCAACTATGACTTACAGATGTACTCTTAAAATAATGACTTGACATATTTATATGTATATCATTAGTTTAATATCTTACCTAATTGTCCAACAAACTAATTCAATGTTGTTTGCAATGCATTAAATGAACAAAAGATAAACTTGGTAATAGAGAATCCAGAAAGCCTAGTGGCCCATGAAATCACTGGATTTGCAAAGTTATTTTCTCTTCAGCGCTGTGCACTATCTCAGAACAAAATCTGTTGGCAAAGCACTTTATTGGCAACCAATGCGTTAGAATATAGAGACATTAGGAACGCCACATGGGGTCCAACCAATGCTCCATCCAGGCCAGCCTAGTGCAAAAGCAACATGAGTGGATTTTGGAGAGCGAGGTTGCCTGATGTGGTATCAGTTTGTAGTGTTGGAATTATTTAAAATATCTTCCCAAAATCATTTTGTGAACTAACATGGAACTCTATCATTTCAGACAAATCCCTTGATTTTTTCCCACAGCTCTCCCTCTTTGTGTTAGAGTTCCATACATGTAATGCCCAATATGTGAAGAGAAAATTAACATTCCCCTTTTTCTACTTGCAGACTTCCAAACATTTACTGAAACCTTAAACTCTTACTGATTCTTTAAACTGTCCCCATTCCAGTTTTCTCTACAGCAAGTAGCTCTCAATGTGTAGTCCTCAGATGGGCAGCATCCACTGGAAAACTGCTAGGAATGCACATTCTCAGGCCTCACCCAAGATCTGCTGAATCAGAAGCTCTGGGGTGGAACCCAACAACCTGCATTTTAACAAGCCTTCCAGATGACTCTGAAGCATGCTCCATACTGACAACTAATGCAATGCATTATGGTAAATTTGCCCACCCACCCTCTGGCAAAAATAACATCTAATTGCATTTCCTTTTTAGTTTGATGAGTACTTATCTCGGTATCTTTTAATTCACCTGATGTTTCTGTTGGTAACAAAACCAACAAAAACGTTGTAAATTTGGTACACTGAAATGCAAAATAAGAGTGAAGGAGAGGACACTGGTAGTGAAATCAACAACTATAAAGCAGTTTGGGGAAATTCAGTTTAGGGACAGGCATTATATCTCAAAAATCCAGTGAGCATCACATTATAAAAGCACGGCTCCAAAGGTGACGATTTCATGTGAGGACCCTTCAGTCACAAACAGAGGATTAGCTCACGTTCATTATTTCCAAATTTCCCTCACCAAAGCACACATTATTAAGGCATTTTTGAGACATTTTTATCAAAATGAAAATGTGTTTGACAATGGAGCAAACTGAGATATATGAAATATTTACTTGTTTGAATATCTGAAGATACTAGAAATGTGTCCTTAATTTACTCTGTCTTATATGAAATGTAAACCAATGCTATCCATTAACTTCTAAACATGTTCCAACTGATGCATGTTGCAACTGTTCCAGCCCTGTTGCATAGGACAAGACTCAGTTTTTTCAGAATGAGCAGACGAAGTAAGACCAATTACTTATTGTCATTGAAGTTTGTGGTTTTTGTTCAAATTTTATAAGGGTACAATATAATGTGTTTAATCATCATGGTGGCCACTTTTTATACATAGCTTTTTAAAAACTTAAATGCAAACTTCACAACCTTTGCCTCATACTGAATGAGGCCTCATAACAAGCCCTCCAGATGAGTCAGTACCAGTAGAAGTCTGATTTCACATTCCATGAGTGTTTGCTGAAGGAGAATACATGTGCCTGTGTTCTGCTGGGCATTTCTGAAGGATATTGACAAGCACAGCATATAAATCCTAGGCTAGCTGTGTCACAGATTGGCACAATGGCAGAAAGAATATCTCTGTGAATTTACATCCCGGCAGAGGCAAATCAATCAGTCAACTATGGAGTTGATTGATTTCCATTGTTAAATTCAATTGGAAAAAAAAGTTGAAATTTTCTCATATTCTTTGTCATCTAATATCTGTGTTTTTCTCTGTTCAGTTACTCTTCTCTGGATTTCAAATAGAATTTCTAATAATAAACGTGTACCAATTCTATCATCAAGCTGTTTATGTTCTTTACATTTCTGTTCTTGATAATTATATGCTAGTCTTTGAATATGAAGATAATGCTTCTGACCCAATATTCATAATGCATGTGCCTCGAGTTGTTATTTTTTGCAAGAGAAATAAGTTTATTTTGATCTGATACATTTTCTTTCCCAGTCTTCATGTGACCAGCAGCACCAACTGCAAGACTGTCTGTCACCTGAGTGTGACTTGCAACCAAGCACATGTGGGAATTCAGTGAAGGCCCCTGCCTTGACCTCATTATCAACAGGAACCAGCCAAAGACAGTGGTCACTCTTTATCCATGTAAATAGACACCGTAATTTATTTTCAAAAAAATCCAAAGGAAAAAATTTAAGGCCATTATAATACCAGAAATCTGCACTGTGAGTACTTGGAAGATGACAGTTGATAAAGCTGGGAGGTTTACAATGACTAGATTGTCAGAAGGGGTTAAATGTATGTTCTAATAATAAGAGAACAAGAAAAAAGAATGCCCTGGTGATGTGTAAATTTAAAATACAGTGGTACATTTTAGGAAAACCAAAAATCAATCCATGAACTTTGAAATGAAGGGAGATAGTTCTGAGAGAACTAGAGGAACTGGACTTGAGATCCAAGATTACAATTTACTCAATTTTTTATAGATACTTTAAGTATGGAAAATTTAATTTTATTCTTATAGATAGTAAGGTATAATACAGAATATAAAGTCCATTAAATTAAGGTGATTATAGATCCTGGTTTTCTTGACACTCCTATATCATGCTGATGGTTCCTGTGTGAATATTAACATTACCCCCTTCAATTCACAAGTGTCTTGCACTGTGTGTGTGTGTGTGCGCGCACACGTGCGTGTGTAGCTTTTGGTTTTATTCTTGTTTGTTTGTTTTGCAAAAATGAAATAATAGCAAACATGTGATCCTGAAACTTTCTTCACTGAATACGTATCTTAGAATCTTTATTTTTCTTATTATTCAAAATAATTCATTTTTTAACCTACTACTTACTCATCATTGAATATAGTTATTTAATCCTCTTTTAAAACCATTTGAATTGTTTTAAATTTTGTCCTACTGCAAATAATTTCATCATATTCTTTTAACCTATAACTGCACATATGTTTTAGTATTTCTGTAGGTTAAATTTTTGGAAATGGTATCAGATCAAAAAAGTTAACATTAAAGTCATAATCAATATTCCCAAATGTAGACACATTTTTGAATCTTCAATTTAATCACTTTCATAAAATTTCAACTTTCCTTAATAATACTTCCAATTTAAACTAAGGAGCTTTAATTGTTTAGGACCACAAAGATTTCTATCAGAGGGAGGACAAAACGTGAAATATTTTGTTTTGTAACTTATTTGTTGCAAAAAAACATCACTGCTGTTTGGAAATTGAGAAACTGTCCAAACAAGTACACTATGGACAACAAATGTCGTGAACTGCCTGTCCACACTGAGGTTTGAGAGCCACAGGAGACTTGAGACTTCTTCTAAGACAGTTTAAAGAAGTCTCATTTATTTGTCTTTTTATACAATGTAGCAAATCAATATATTAAATAATATAAGAACACTAAGCTTTCTTACATATAAAACTAGAGTAACCTATCAAACAAAGCTGTTCCACGTAACTGAGAACTCATTAACCCTGAGGTACTAGGAATATATGAAGTCAGTGCAATAGCAGGCGATAGCCTGTCACGTGCAACTAGGGCTGCTGGTGGGGAAAAGTACAACATCCCAGATTCGTCAGTGATGTGGCTGGATTGTTGGGTGTGAGAAATGCACCAGCCCTGACTCAGAGATGCCCTCTCTTGCTCATCTTCCTGTCATTCTGGTGCTGAACACCTGTGCCCACCCATAGTGACCTGTGACCGAGGGCATGGGCACCAACACCTTCCCTATCTCCCTGTCTTTTTTCTTTCCCTCTTTTCCCTTTATTCATTCCACTATCCTTCTTCCTCCCCCTCACAACCCCAACTCTTTTCATATCATCAACAAATGGCAAGTACAGGCCCTGAGGAAGACACAGATGACTAAGATGGAGCTTCTGCCCTTGAAAAGCCCCTGATCTAGTCTGGGAGACTGACATATAATCAGAGGATCAGATAGCCTGATGAATACCATGATCATGTGCCTGACACCTTAGAGTAAAGAAAATGTGGCATCTCATGTTGCTAGGAGGAATCAGGACAGCTTTGCAGAGCACCAGGTGTTTGTGATGCATCTGCAAGTTCATTGTCTTTGAGTGTAGGAAACCACCATTGGAGCATATAGGCTGGACCTAGGAACCCTGGGCTCTGCACCAAACACAGGCTCCTGAATGGAAGATAGGTGACATTGTCACTGTCCTCAGTCCCTGCCCTGGCTTGCCTAGAATGCAATAAATTAAGTTGTTATAGGTGGTGTGTACTTGTACCTAAAGATGTCACTGCTAGCTGAGAGGAAATAAGCCCCTGAAGATTGTTAGGGCAGTGAAATTATTCTTTAAGATACTGTTATGGGAAATATATGACATAATGCATTTAGCAAAGCCCATAGAACCGTACAACACAGGGACTAAATCCTAATATAAACTGTGGATGTTAGTTAATCATAATGCATGAATATTGGTTCATCAGTTGTAACAAATGTGCCACACCAACACAAAATGTTAACAATAGGAAAAACCAGAGGCTGGTGGGGGAAGAGAGTATACAGGAACCCCATATATTTTGCTCACATTTTCTGAAAACCTAAAACTGGTCTAAAAATCAAAGTCTATTAATTTTTTTAAACACCTTGAAACAGTATGTCTATCTTCTATTAGTTCCCTGCCTTTGTGAAAATAAGAGCAGACTTTTGGTTTTTCTTCTTTAGGACAAGAATTATATTTTTATAATAACTCCTCCATTTCTTTTGATATATCTAATTATTTCTTTAATAACTGGATCAAACACTTTAATATTAATGAAGGTAGAGCCAATAGGATATCCTGGTAGATTGGAAGAGACAGTGAGAGAAACAGAGGCATAAAGGATGATGCTGAAGTTTTTGGCTTGAGCAAGAAGAAGCAGGGCTGGTACTAGGGTGAGCCAAGTGAGATGCTGAGGGCATACAATTTAAGGAGGCCCTTGCATAGCCATGCAAAAGCAAGGTCAGCACTTCCTTGATGCTCTGAATGCCTTAAAGTTTGTGCCTAAGTGGTTGGCTTACTTCACTCTTGTCCTAGTCCTGACTGGATCAATGATATCACCATCCACTGAGTTGGGGCAGGCTGAGCAGAAGCAAATTTGGGGAGGCTGGATTGAATATAGAAGCTTGGTTCTGGACATGTTGACTTTGAGATGGCCATTGAACATTCAAGTGGAGACATCAGGTAGTCAGCTGGATCTCTGAGTCTATATCTCAGGAAAGAGGCTGAGACTAAAGTTATGTATTTAGAAGTTATCACAAGACTAGATGAACTCATGAAGAAAGTGAGTGTGAATGGATAGTTAGATGGATAAGGGAAGAGTTTCAAGGCCTGAGCCATGAAATACTTCTATTTGTCAGAAAGAAAAAGAGGAGCCAGCAAGGAACCTTGAAAAAGAGCAGGCAATAAGAGAAGGAACACTGGCAGTGTACATTCCTGGAAGACAAGACAATGCTTCAAGGAGTAGAGAGTAATAAGTTGTGTTTCATGCTGCTAGAGTTGAGTTAGACAAAGCTTGAAACTAGAACTTTGGTGTTAGTAGCATTGAGGTCATCGACGATGTTGACTAAAACAGTTTTGGTGGAGAGATGACAACAGAAGCCTGAACAGAGTGCACTGAAGAGAGAAGAAGAGAGGAGAGAAATTTGATTCTGCATATACATAAAACTCTTTCAAGGTCTTTTAGAAAGAGGAAGGAAGATAGAAAGAGAGAGACAGACAGACAGAGTGAGAGAGATGAGAGAGAAGCCAGAGGGGGAAGAGAGGTCCAGAATTTAATACTTTCCCAGTTTTTCCAACTTGCATCTCAACCCCTTATCTCTGGGTTTTAGCAGTGGATACTTTGAGATTCTAATATTTATCTCCTCAGAACGTGAGATGCAGAAGAGGAGATAGGAAATTGAGATAATAACTACTTTCTTCTGATGGGTGGGAAAAATTCTATATGAGAGTTTTTCTACCAAGACACATGTGAAAGGAAGTGGCAACATGTGGCAATTCATCTAAGATCAACAACTTTTTTTCTCTGTTTGAATTTGTTGATTTGGAAGTTATTTGTCTGGCTCTGCAACAGAATCATTATTTGCTCTACCAATTTTTCTAAAGTCTCACATGCTGATGCCAGTTAAAAAAGAATACATTTTAGTCTGTCAACTTTTGCTTACAAAAGAGGATCTAAAAGTGTGTTCCAAGGTAATTTGAACAGACTCTTTCAAGATAGTGCATATTTTAGTAGATCCACAGAACAGTAAATATAACTTGATAATCACCCCCAACATTTCTTGCATTGGAAAATTGAATTGGCAGGTTTGCATAATAAAGGGCTAAAATTATGAACCACACAAGATTTGCCTGAAACTTGATTGTTCAGGCTCAAAATTCTCTACTGAATACTCTTGTGCTTGCTTTTGTATTTATCCATTTTCATGAAACTGCTTAGGGCAGACATTTCTTTTTTAAATCTTTTTTCATAAAAATAAATTGTAATAAATATGCCGGCGGATGGTAGAGATGCCGACCCTACCGAGGAGCAGATGGCAGAAACAGAGAGAAACGACGAGGAGCAGTTCGAATGCCAGGAACGGCTCAAGTGCCAGGTGCAGGTGGGGGCCCCCGAGGAGGAGGAGGAGGACGCGGGCCTGGTGGCCAAGGCCGAGGCCGTGGCTGCAGGCTGGATGCTCGATTTCCTCCGCTTCTCTCTTTGCCGAGCTTTCCGCGACGGCCGCTCGGAGGACTTCTGCAGGATCCGCAACAGGGCAGAGGCTATTATTCATGGACTATCCAGTCTAACAGCTTACCAGTTGAGAACGATATACATATGTCAGTTTTTGACAAGAATTGCAGCAGGAAAAACCCTTGATGCACAGTTTGAAAATGATGAATGAATTACACCCTTGGAATCAGCCCTGATGATTTGGGGTTCAACTGAAAAGGAACATGACAAACTTCAAGAAGAAATACAGAATTTAATTAAAATTCAGGCTATAGCCGTTTGTATGGAAAATGGCAACTTTAAAGAAGCAGAAGTCTTTGAAAGAATATTTGGTGATCCAAATTCTTATATGCCTCTCAAAAGCAAATTGCTTATGATAATCTCTCAGAAAGATACATTTCATTCCTTTTTTCAACACTTCAGCTACAATCACATGATGGAGAAAATTAAGAGTTATGTGAATTATGTGCTAAGTGAAAAATCATCAACCTTTCTAATGAAGGCAGCAGCAAAAGTAGTAGAAAGTAAAAGAACAAGAACAATAACTTCTCAAGATAAAGCTAATGAAAATTATGTTGAAACGGAAACTGAAGCTAATTTGGATACAAGAAAAAGGTCTCACAAGAATCTTTTCTTATCTAAGTTACAACATGGGACCCAGCAACAAGACCTTAATAAGAAAGAAAGAAGAGTAGGAACTCTTCAAAGTACAAAAAAGAAAAAAGAAAGCAGAAGAGCCACTGAAAGCAGAATACCTGTTTCAAAGAGTCAACCGGTAACTCCTGAAAAACATCGAGCTAGAAAAAGACAGGCATGGCTTCAGGAAGAAGACAAGAATTTGAGATCTGGCATGAGGAAATATGGAGAGGGAATTATAAATTCAACAACCGGACAAGTGTCATGTTAAAAGACAGATGGAGGACCATGAAGAAACTAAAACTGATTTGCTCAGACAGCGAAGACTGATTGTGTTTGTAAAAGCTTGATGAAAGGACAGTTAAGTATTTTGATCACTGCATTTTGTTTGAAACTTGTGTCATTGATGTATTTTAAAACTTTTGTTTAAGCATTACAGTATTTTTCTGTGACCATCAATTAATATGAGGGTTTGTGCTATAAGAGTTAGAGCATATGCTATCATTGTATTCTTTAAGAACTTTATTTTGATAAAATGTAAATTTGTTGAACCCTGCCACATTTAGTATCCCCACCCCCAAAACCTGTTCCAATGAAAAAATTAAAACCTGTTACGAAAAAAAAATTCAGTTAACCTATTTTGTGTCTGTAGGCTGACCTCAACACTGTAACATAACCCATTAAAATGAATTTTTTTTTTAAGACAGAGTTTCTCTCTGTCACCCAAGCTGGAATGCAATGGCACAATTTCAGCTCACTGCAACCTCTGCCTCCCGGGTTCAAGCAATTCTCCTGCCTCAGCCTCCTGAGTAGCTGGGATTATAGGCACACACCACCATGTCCAGCTAATTTTTGTATTTTTAGTAGAGGCGGGGTTTCACCATGCTGGTCAGGATGGTCTCGAACTCCTGACTTCATGATCCACCCACCTCGGCCTCCCAAAGTGCTGAGATTACAGAAGTGAGCCACTGTGTCCTGCCTAAAATGAATTTTCTAGACGACTGAATAACAGTAGTCCTTTGATAGGAGATAATGACTTGGTTTATGGCCTTAATACACTACTTAATTACTTAAGATGTTTATTAATAGAATGATAAATGTACAGAGTAACCTACAAGCATGACATACTTTTGCTTTCAGTAGTTTCATGTAAAGAAAAAAACTTGAAAATAGTAATACCTGAGGACCCATGGGAATAACAGACACTGGGGAGGTAGGGTGGGGAGCGGGAACAAGAGCTGAAAAACTACCTACTGGGGACTCTGCTCACTACCTGGGTGACAGGATCATCCATACCCTAAACCTCAACATCACAGTACACCCAGCTAACAAACCTGCCCATGTGTTCCCTGAATCTAAAAAAAAAATTGAAATAATTGTTTTAAAAAAGAAAAAGACAATAGTATTACCCATGGGACAAAATTTGTACTATTAGCAAGAATCATTTGTGTCTCATTTAGAAACAATTTGACTTTTGTTCCAGTGTTTAAACTTTGACAAAAATGGTTTTGAATAGATCTTTATAACCTGATGCCATAAATACAAGATTCTCTGAAACCTTCATTTAATATATCAATATTGGGCCTAAAAGAGTATTCTATAAAGCTTAAATTGGTATTAACTATGATCATCTTGATGTCTATGATAGATAATAAACAAGGTCATACATACCTTACTAAATAATTTTGGTTTTTCACCAACATTTTATCTAAAAGATTTAGACTAACAGAATTATTTAGCATTTCGAGTCATGTGCTTTATTTAGCAAGTGAGTAAAAATATTGGAATATTGAAGTATTTGCATAAAAAATCAAATGGTAGTGTTTTGTGATCTCTATTGTATTTTCTATTAAGGTTTCATATATTACTTTCCCATTGTTTCTGAATTTGTTATCCTATATATAAACAGAAACATGGATGAGTACCATAAAAAATAAATAAATAAATATGCCAAACTCACTCCAATAGCATCCATCATATCATATGTATTATATAAATACATATTTTACCATTATAATTGACAAACCAGCAATTATGAGCTTGATTCTTTGTGGATGCATTAGGAGAGTGTTTCTTCATAGGATATAATATTTTGTAATTTCTTATTCTTTACTGCTTGCTGCGCTGTAAAACGTTTATAAAATGAGTTCCTTTTGGGGTGTGAAATGAGCAATCATCAGAGGAAAAGCATTAAGGACAAGAAAGTGGAGTGAGGATCATGAAGCATGTGCATTTCTTTCTCAAGGTCATGGGTAAATTTCAGCTCCATGGAAAATCTTGAGAAAGAATCCAGCAAGAATGAGATCATGAAATGTTAGCTTTCCCCAAGTAGAAATTCCATAATTGAACTATAAAATTGCTGCTTACAAATTTTTTCTTCTAAATTCTACTTGAAATTAGGGAATTGAAAGGGCCAGGAGGGACCTTGGAATTCATCTAGTCTGAATTCATTATACATAGGAAAAGTTAAGCTGAGCCATTCTGCAAGTCACACTAATGTGACATAGAAAATACTAGAACCTAAGGTTCTGAATTACTGTTTCAGGTGTTCATCTGCTACAACAAACACCTAGTAGGTATAAGAGATCATTTAAACCCACCCCAAAGGATACAAAGTTGAGGAAATCACTCTTTGCCTTTGCAGAAATCACAATCTATTATCAAAGCATATGATAGAAATTTCAATATCTAAAACACAAGATCCAAAGTGTTGAGTGCCATGAGAATGATATAAGAGTTTAAGAAGGGAGAGATACAACAAAGTTTGGGCAAGCCAGTATGTTTCTTGAAGGAATAGCACTTAATTTGTGATGTGAAGATAAAATCTCAGTAAAGAAAAATGGGGAAGAAGATGGTAAGCCTGGCAGAAGGAATATTATTAGCAAGTGCAGGAAAATATACTCTAATCAAAAAGAGCAAGTAGCCTAATGTGACTGGATTTCAATTTACCTTTACATTTTTCTATCATGTTATTTCATGCCCATAAATTATGGCAATAGTCTAAATGAACTTGAATATCAGACCAAATTGCCTTGTCTTATGTAGTAACCCACTCAAGTTTCTAAGCAGAAAATAACCTGACCCCCATTCTCTGAGATTTTAGAAAAAATTGTGTATCCTTCACTAAAGTTTGGAATGCATTTTGGAAGGAAAGAGGAAAACTGAACGAATATGTCCTGACCACGTGTATTACTCATTTGCTCTGAAAGCCATACCCTGCCCCTTTTTCTGCTCAGCTCTGAATGTTAGTCTCAGACTTAGGTTTAGCTAAGTGAAGGCAGAGGAGCAGGCATCCAAAGGGTGGAAGGGAAGGAGAAGCCAGACTATTTCTTCTCACTCTCTGTACTTGAGGTAGCATCTCTTCTCTGGTTTCGGTTCCTGTTGTGCAGTCTTTGCCATGCTTCCAGCCTGGCAGCCTTGGCATTTCCTAAGCAGTTCCTTCTCCATGATTCCAGGTCCTACTGAGGCCCCAACTCAGAGAATCCCGTAGTGCCATTGCCTCCCTTTGTGCTCCATTTCTGATATCATAGAGACTTTCTGTTGTTGCTAACCTCTGGGTGCTTCACATTTCCTTATTAACTTTTTCCACTCTTCCAATATAGGATATTAAAAAGCATATTACTGAAACGTTAAAAAGCATAACTGCCTTTAGATATAATTAAACAAAGGGCCTCAAACAAAGTCACCATGGACCTGCCTCTTTCTCCCTATTCCTGGACTCTTCTGTGCTCTTTTTGCATTGTCTTTGCTGTCAGGCTAGTTCTTTCTGCACAATTGGAAAGATGACTGTTGCTTGGCCCAAGTCTACATCCTTATGGCTCATAATCCAAATGAAAAAGAGATTATCTATTTTCCAGAAACCCTGTATTAAATCTCAAATTTGAATTTGATTGATTTGCTAGAGGGTAGGGTGATGAAGTTCTCTGGTCCTGGTCATTGGAGAAGGGTAAATGTTATTTCAGCCTCATTCAAGTTTTACGGAGCGAGGCATAGCATTTACTCAAAAGAAGGGATACTGGGCAAACAACAGTCATCTAATACAGACAGATGCTGAAAATTATCTATTTGCTCCTCCATATCCACTCTTCATCCTTTTCTAACCTGATTTTGTGCAAAGGAAGCTCACCTCCTTGGCCACTCTCTTCCTTTGTCCTCTGACTTTATGTCAAGTGCAGCCAATGGAGCACATTGCCATGGGATTGGAAAGCAAGAGGAAAGAGACTTAGTGGGGTTTATTCCACCCCCACCTGGCCAGGCAGTGATGTGGCAGTGGCGGTGGCAGCATCCCTCACTGAAGCAGCTCTTGCTGGGTAGTATCTCCCATGTGCAGGTTCCCCAGTGCTCTGATAAGAGCTCCTACCTCCCCCATCCCTACAGGACTGATGGTAGGAATGGCCTTCACCACCTCTAGTCCCTGGGTGCGTCATTGCTTCTAGTGGGTTCCTTAGCTTTGTCCATACCCTGAATGAACTCTTGATTAAACCCTCTTCAGTTATCCTTTTTTTAGCATGCCAACTGATCCAGCCAGGACCTGGTACTTATGGGTTAAATGATTATTGCCACTTTCTAGCTGACAAAGCCAAGCTTAAACATTTTCAGAAACTTACTAGAGACCACACAATGAGGAGGAGGTGGGTTTGGGACTGAAATTTTTGTTTATTTGCCTTCAAAATCTGGATCTTAAAAGAACAATTTCTCCCCCTTTGACAGACATAAACCCAAGGGCATCTGTGCCATTGTCATGTGCCTTGTCTGTCTACCTTCTACATACATCCGATTATGATGGGCCAGACAGACAGGGATTTTGGCTTCCTTAGCAAAATTGGCTCTTAAGTTAAAAGGAAAAACAAAATAAGATGGAGAATCCCCTCTCCTACATTCACAACTTAATGGCTGATTCCAGTTTGCTTTTTGTTAATATGCACATTCCATTTCTTATAGTCTGTGAGTAAATGGGCCTTTCATAAGCCCATCCAAAGGGTAGCTTACAATTTTCATTCTGTCCCCTCTCCTTGCACTTTTCTTAAAGTGAATGAATTACTAGTTAATGCCTGAGAGAGTAAAATCCCTGATCCAATTTTTTCACAATGTATAGTTTTATGTGGAAGAAAATAGGAGTCTGGAAGATACTCAGCCTCAATGAACTTTACTCCTCTGAGGAAGGTTAGCAAGAGGGATAGGAGTCAGGAGAGGCACCCTCATTAGTCACCAGCTCTGATTGTAAACAGTGGGATCATTGCTTTTAATTCTTTACCATAGAACTTTCTCTGGCACCAGATTCATGTAAGTATAATTCAGAAATGTAAGTGGATAACAGCTTATTGTCCAAGGTTCCCAAGGACCAAAAAAGAAGGTGCCAAAAATACTTAAAAGTAGCCAAGTAACTCTGACCTGGAGTGCTGAAGTTCATTCCCTTTCTACATCATTTGCATAATATCTCCATATCCAAATGGTATCCCAGAATACATGAAGGAATTAGGAAGTCTAAAAAGTTAAATGGAAAATAATAGCATGGGTAAAGTGCAATTAATGCCATAAGCAGGAAAGGCAAATACACTGATTTAGCTGAGATTTAACACAACTTTGGAATTCAACTTGGCAAAGCAAGAGGGGACATTGGAAAAGCCGTACCTTGCTAAGAGAGAAAGTAGCTTTCTATTCTGAAGCAGCTATATATGTGCAGTCATAGAAGGCCCAATCCACGAGAGAAATGAGCAGTCTGGTTTATGGGAAGAATCCAATGCAAGAAGGCATTTACATGTAGCTAAATCACTGATCTTGAGAGGTCAAGGAAGATAGAAACCTTATTTAATGACAAGGTAACAAAAACAGAAATAACACTTTTTAAATTATTTTTAAAATCTTACTTGTGATGCATATTAATGTCCCAGAGTTGTGTGGGCTTTTCTCCAGAAGTACAGATTCACAAAGGGTTATTTATTTATTTATTTATTTATTTATTTATTTATTTATTATACTTTAAGTTCTGGGATACATGTGCAGAATGTGTAGGTTTGTTACATACGTATACAGATGCCATGGTGGTTTGCTGCACCCATCAACACATCATCTATGTTAGGTATTTCTCCTAATGCCATCACTCTCCTAGCCCCTCACCCCATAATAGGCCCCATTGTGTGATGTTCCCCTCCTTCTGTCCATGTGATCTCATTGTTCAGTTCCCACTTGTGAGTGAGAACATGCGATACTTGGTTTTCTGTTCCTGTGTTAGTTTTCTTAGAATGATGGTTTCCAGCTTCATCCATGACTATTTTGAGAAAAGTTTAGAGTAAAACAAAGGATAGACCAAGGGCCTCTGTGGTCAGAGTTTGTGCTCTGAAAGGGGGTCCCTCTCTCCATGGTGCTAGGCAGTCACAGTGATACACAGACAAAACAGAAATGATCTCCCTGTTTTCTTCAACAAAGTTCCAATTACTCCCAGCATCTTCACAATGGGTGAGAATGAACCTCTGTTGAGTGCAACATGCTCCGTGGTTTGTGTTTCTTTACTTTTTTGTTTTGCTGCAAGGTTGCAGGCTCCTTTGTAGTCTACAAACACCTTGAGAGCAGGAATGGCCTTTATTCATCATTGTTCTTATTTCTTAGCTCAAGGCCTGGACACATAGCAGGCATTTAATAAAGTGAGTTCTGTTAACCTCATCTTTAAATGTTGATGTTGTTTTCTTTTCAGGAGAAAAACTTATTTAGGTCACAGACATACACACATACCACATGCATTCACACTCCAGAAAAGTAAATCCAACACATACACACACACAAAGAACAACTGATGTAAAAAATAATAATGGTAAATTGAAGGCAATAAAACATTTATTTTTATACTAAAATTAAAAAAATAAGATATGAAGAAAGCTGAGCATAAGATTGACATATACAGAAGCTACAATAAAACAGACCCACAAAGCATTATTTCATGTCTTCATGTATTGATTTTTTTTCTCTAACATGGGGAATGAGGTAGGTTTTCCATTGCCTCCCACTTTCTGTTGGCTGCTGATGGCTACATTTCCTTTTCTGAGAATCTCACATATTGACCATAGATATTGTTGTCACTAAATAAACCACAGGCACCATTAATCAAATAGGAATTAGTGAAAGGGAAAGAGGTATAGTGGGTTGAATAATTTTTCCCTAAATTTATACGCATCTGTGTCTTAGTTCATTTGAGCTGCTATAACAAAAATACCATAGACTAGGTAATTTATAAACAAAAGAAAATTTATTGCTCATAGTTCTGGAGGCTGGGAAATGCAAGATCAAGATGACTTCCTATTCAGTGTTTGGTGGGGGTTTACTCACTGCTTCATAGATGGTGCCTTCTCGCTGTGTCCTCACATGGCAGAAAGGTTGACCAAGGTCCCTGAAGCCTCTTTTATAGGGTATTAATCCAATTCATGAGGAATCAGTGTTCATGGCTTAATCACCCCCCCCAAAAAAAAAGCCACATCTCTTAACACTCTCATATTGGGGATTAAGTTTCAACACATGGGCTGGGCATGGTGGCTCATGCCTGTAATCCCAGCACTTTGGGAGGCTGAGGCGGGTGAATCACCTGAGGTCAGGAGTTCGAGACCAGCCTGGCCAACATGGTGAAACCCTGTCTCTACTAAAAGTACTGGGCGTGGTGGCACGCACCTGTAATCCCAGCTACTAGGGAGGCTGAGGCAGGAGAACCACTTGAACCCAGGAGGCAGAGGTTGCAGTGAGCTGAGATGGTGCCACTGTACTACAGCCCAGGTAACAGAGCAAGACTCTGTCTCAAAAAAAAAAAAAAAGTTTGAACATACGAATTTTGGGGGTATACAAACATTCAGAGCATTCCAACCTGGAACATCAGAATGTGACCTTATTTGAAAAGAGAATCTTTGTAGATATATTTGGGATATAAAAAGGATTCTGGGATAAAACCACCCTGGATTTACAGTGCATACAAAAATCTAGTGTAATGACTGGTGTCTGTATGAGAAGAGGGAAAAATACAGAGACACAGGGTATAAGGCCATTTGTAACCTCTGGCAGAGATTGGAGTTATCCTGCCACAGACCAAGAAATGCAAAGGCCCAGAAGAAGATGAAAGAGGCAAGGAAGGATTGCAACCTTCCAAGGAAGGGTGTCCCTGCTAACACCTTGATTTTGGACTTCTGACCTTCACAACAGTGAGAGAATACATTCTTGTTGTTTAAGCCACCCAGTTTGTGGTACTTTGTTACAGTGGCCTCAGGAAACTAATACAGGAGGTTTTTTGTTTAGCATATTACAGGATATTGACTTGAGTAGGAACTCAGATTTCACAGACAGATAGTTGGATGAGGTCTATGTATTAACACCACATTGAATATAAACTCTATGAGTGAGAAGCATTGTTTCCAGGAAGAGCAAATACCACATTCCAACCATATTGATGGTTGTTGAGTCAGGGCCCTCTTATTCTATGAGATTCCTGTCGAAACTTCCTTATCAGCAACTGTCTGGCTGAGAGCAAGAATAATCTTTTGCCTCTTTTATACACAGATTTTATGTAGTTAATTAAATAAATGTTAATTTAAATTAATAAAAATCATACTAAAGCAATTTCTAAAAATATATTTATCAGCCACTTTTTTTTGTAGGTCTTCAATAGAATAATGAAATCCATGTAAAATCCTCGGGTTTTCAGAGTTTCATCTTGATATCTTAGCATTCTGTCAAACTATAGGCTGAGGGAGAAACATTCTGCAGCTTCCCTTAGAAGACCCACTTTGGATCCACCTTTCCGCAGAGGCATTTTTCAGGATTTCTGTGTCTAGATTTCTCCCTGGGAAAACCAGGGATAAAACCATCAGTCACATCACTTGCAGCCCAGGGAATGTTCAGCTGGCACACGTGACTAGATCAGTGGTAGAAGGCATGCAGGACTTAGGATTTCACATTTCTTTACGTTTGACCTTTACATTTCTAACAAGAAAGGCATTGTTTATTAATGTCTTCATTTTACACAGGAAAAAAAATGAAGATCAGGATAGTTAAGGCAGTAATTTTCCTATGTTTTTCACTCTTTTGAGGAACGGGCTGGCCCTGGGAGATGGGATGCAGTGAGAAGGAAGAAAAGGCAGCCTAGCTTTTATCTCATCAAAGTCAAAAGTCTTATGGACACACCTTTGCAATACCTCTCCTGGAAGTGACTTAAGTGTTATGTATTTCCACATGCCCTTATTTTAGTAATTTTTCCATGGGAAAACAAACCCATGACTCAGTAAAATTTGACAAAGTAAATCACCTAAAATTTCACAACAAAACTCCCCCTAAATGGCGGTGGGAAGCCATAGTTAGAAACAAATTTTGGCCTACTATTTTTCAACTAATTTTTAAAATAGTGGTAAAATACACATAACATAAAATTTACCATCTTAACCATTCTTAAGTGTGCAGTTCAATAGCGTTAAGTGAATTACATTGTTGTGTAATCAATGTCCAGAGCTTTTCCATCTGTCACAACTGAAACTCTATCCCCATTAAACAACTCCTCATTTTCCCCTCTCCTCAGCTCCTGGCAACCATAATTCTACTTTCCATTTCTATGCATTTTATTACTTTAGACACTTCATGTAAGTGGACCCATAGTATTTGTCTTTTTGTGGCTTGCTTATTTTACTTAGCATGTCTGCAAGATGCCTCCACGTTGTAGTATTGTGTCAGAGTTTCATTCCCTTTTAAGGCTGAATAATATTCATATATATATATATATATATATATATAAATTTTGTTTCCATTCATCTGTAGATGAACACTTGAGTAGTTTCTAATCTTGACTATTGTAAGTAATGCTGCTATGAACATAGGTGTACACTCTACCTACTACTTTTAATCACAATTTAAACCCTTCCATTTTGAGAAAAGTTGTAAAATAACAGAATATGTTTTGTTTAGAAAATTAATCATTTTTATTCTCAGATATGAGAACAACACAAAGTATTTTTCTTTGAAGTTCATAAAATGCCATTGCATAATTTATTTTTACATAAAAATACTTTCTGGGTTGAGCATGGTGACTCACACCTATAATCCCAACACTTTGGGAGGCTGAGGTGGGAAGATCACTTGAGGCCAAGAGTTCAAGACCAACCTGTGCAAGAGAGTGAGACCTTATCTCTACAAAAACTTTAAAAAATTAACCAAGCATGGTGGTGGATGCCTGTAGACCCAGCTACTCAGGAGGCAGAGGTGGGAGGATAGTTTGAGGCCAGGAGTTCAAGGCTGCAATGAGCTATAATCATGCCACTGCACTCCAGCCTGGGCAACAGAGTGAGAACCTGTCTCAGGAAGAAGAAAAAGAGAAGGAAGGAAGGAAGGAAAAAAAGAAAGAAAAAAGAGAAAGAGAAAAGAAAGAAAGGAAGAAAGGAAGGAAGGAAGGAAGAAAGAAAAAGAAAGAAAGAAAGAAAGAAAGAAAGAAAGAAAGAAAGAAAAGAAAAAAGAAAGAGAGAGAAGAAAGAAAGAAAGAAAGAAAGAAAGAAAGAAAGAGAAAGAAGAAAGAAAGAGATGAAATTTCAGAGTACGTTGCTACTTTGAATTGAGTTGTGCATTGGGAAGCATCAGTCTCCCAGGGAGGGACAGAGAGCTGATAAGGTAGCATGCATTCTCCCAAATCTGTCCCACCCAGGGAATAATGTGCTAGATTTTTCTGACATGCTTCTGGAGGGTGAAAATGCTAAAAGTCCCTCGCAGAATCATTTCCCATTACTAAATTCACCTAGTTTATTACATCTCATGAATGAAATTTTTCAATTAAGTCTTTCCCTTGTTTTTGTTGTGTTGTAACTACTTTAGGATGACTGTTCTACTTAGAGATGGTATCTTAGTCCATTTAGGCTGTTACAGAAATTTTTGTTACAAAAATACCATAAACTGGGTAGGTTATAAACAACATAAATTTATTTCTTTCAGTACTAGAGGCTTGGAAAGCTGAGATTAAGTCACTATCAGAATCAGTATCTGGTGAGACCATTTCCTGGTTCACAGACAATGGCTGTCTTCTCTCTGTGTCTTCTCCTGCAATTGATTTCTCTTGCAGTGGATCTCTTGCACGTCTTTGATAAGAGCACTAATCTCATTCACCAATTCATGAATCACTAATCACTTATGAAAGGCTCCATCTCCTAATGCCATCATATTGGGAATTAGAATTTCAACGTAGGAATTTTGGGGGAATATTAGTCTATTGTTCATGGTTTGATGACCTAATTCTCATGGTGGTTTTAACCCATGCTCCCTTTTAATAAACATAAAATGTTGTAAAATTATATACTTTTTCTCATAGACAACTCCCCCCCTTCCTCATACTTTATCATCTTTAAAATCGCTGATATACTTAGAAGATGGTTTATTTTCTAGGCATTTCTGCAGACTGATTAGGTAGAGCTTTTATTTTTCTTTGGCCAAAGATTATATTTCTTTTCTTTTCTTTTTTTTCTTTTTTTTTTTTGAGATGGAGTTTCGCTTTTGTTGCCCAGGCTGGAGTGCAATGGCCCGATTTCAGCTCACTGCAATCCACCTCCCGGGTTCAAGCAATTCTTCTGCCTCAGCCTCCTGAGTAGCTGGGATTACAGGCATGCGCCACCATGACCGGCTAATTTTGTGTTTTTAGTAGAGACGGGGTTTCTCCATGTTGGTCAGGCTGACCTCAGGTGATCCGCCTGCCTCGGCCTCCCAAAGTGCTGGGATTACAGGCGTGAGCCACCGCACCTGGCCTTATATTTACTTTCAAGTATATGCATTCTACTTTGATCCTCCTAATTCTGATCCTCTCTCCATTACCTCCTCCCCAAAAACCTTCTAAGGATCATATCATTTTAATTAGGAAGTTATTTGGCTACATTCAAAATATGATTTTTCTTTATAAATATTGGACTAATAACTCCAATTTGTGCACACGACATCTGAAGAATGTTACAAATATGTGTGAACTCTGTAAGGCTCCCAGTCCAACTTTTTTTTTGAGATGGAGTTTTGCTCTTGTCACCCAAGCTGGAGTGGAATGGTGTGATCTTGGCTCACTGCAACCTCCGCCTCCCAGGTTCAAGTGATTCTCCTACCTCAGTCTCCTGAGTAGCTGGGATTACAGGCACTTGCCACCATGCCCAGCTAATTTTTGTATTTTTAGTAGAGACGGTGTTTCACCATGTTGGCCAAGCTTGTCTCAATCTCTTAACCTCATGATCTGCCCGCCTTGGTCTCCCAAAGTGCTGGGATTACAGGCGTGAGCCACTGCGCCCAGCCCCTGTCCAACTTTTATTTCATTTTCATCTTTCCTAATCCAGCCTTGTGTTGGAAGCTTCTTCAGACTAAACCAAGAAAACCTTAGGTCTTCATGTTCATATGGGGACTTTAATGTTGATATGGTGTTTGTACACTTTAAAATATTTCCACATATGTTAACCTTGTGGTGATTCTCTGAGGCATGACAGATACTATTTTCCTTGTTTCATAGAAGACAAAACTTGAATTACAGAGAGGTGAAGTGACCACCCTGAGGGCTTCCCCAGCTAGCAAGTTCAGGATAGGCTGAGCTGGATTCCAGGTTCTCTGGCTTCCAGTCTGGTACTCTTTCTGCTATTCCATGCTGTGTTTTCTGATTGAAAAATCATAAGTCTTTGGTATTTCTCAGCTTGGTCAAATTTGTTTAAAGATCACTTAGCTCACTTTTGTCTGAGTCCATACCAACCAAGTGATCCTTTAATCTGTCTTACTGAGTAAATGCACCCTTCCTGAAGTGAGTGAGTGCCCTATGGAGTTAGGTGCTGAGCTGAGCTGCAGTCCTGGGTTATTTATTGCCAATTTGGCATCACCAACTCTCCCTTCTAAGGGTTCCTCTGTCTTTCAGAAAAGTTGGGAGCTATATTTGCAGAATGCCCTTCCCATATGGTTACAGGTTGGTTTACCAAGAAGTCCCTTCCCTTGCTGAAGATTTGGAAGGCTGAAACAAATGACAGGCTAAAGGGGGTTAAAGGCAGAAATGTGGACAACCATGAGATGCTAAGAGGCTCCACCAGAAAGCCACTCCTTCATCACTGCAGACTGTGATGGTTGAAGAGAAATATCTGGAAGTTCAAGGACAATGGACAATGAAGAGGAAACTATTCAGCTGGGAGCTGAGCTGAGGTTGTCCACCGTGGCTTCATTGACCTCAGCTTCCCCTAGTCTTCCAATGGTTGTATAGGCTTCTTGACATCTGCATTAAACCTTTTTAATTTGGATTATCTAGAGAAACCAGTTTTTCTTGACTAAACCCTGACTGATAGACTCATTCCCATGCTAAGTGCTAACATTTGGATTATGACTTTTATTCTTATTGCTAAAGTATAATTTCAAACGATATAATTAGGACACTGATGCAAATATAATATGAATATATGGCAAGGATTTTGTTCAACTCATTAATTAGGTGGGGAAACAATTAGATATTAAGACCAGTTCAAACAATATTTGAGGAGCTAGGTATTTATAGACCATTTAATTTTAAAATGTTAAGATATTTGGGTTATATATAAAACTTGTTAATATCTTACAGAGCAATGCATAATAACATTTGGGGTTATATTTTCCACCAAATCATGTGCCTTTCCATGGGACAAAAATCAACATGTTAAAGTAAAACTTCTGGGACCTTCAATAGATATTTTTTAAATTAGCATCATCATCATCATCATTTGCTATACACGTGATAGGTTATAGACACTACAGTAACATGTTCTCAAACATGTAATTGTCCTTTCAACAATTCTGTGAGGTGGATTTTGTCATCTCCATTTTAGAGATTTGGAAACTGAGCCCAGTGACCCCACCTGACCTCCTCAAGGTCATGGACTGAGTTAGAGCTGGGATTTAAATCCAGATTTGTCTCACACTGAGGCCTGTGATTTCCTCCTAGTTCACTATCACCTAATTAATTCAGATACTCCTGACTCTCTCTGTGTTAATTAATAAAATCAGCTTGGTGAATAACAAGGTTGAAAACTAAGCAAAGGAACATAACTGAATACAAAATGTTATTACAAAAGATTAACGGCTTTGAAAAGTAAAAGCAGTATGAACTATGCCATGTAAACCTTAGGGGGATAAGGGCCTTAGATTATTCAAAAGATAAATATATTTGGAAATTTTTTTAAATTTTTTATTTTTTTAATTATACTTTAAGTTCTATGGTACATGTGCACAACATGCGGGTTTGTTACATAGGTATACATGTGCCATGTTGGTTTGCTGCACCCATTAACTTGTCATTTACCTTAGGTATTTCTCCTAATGCTATCCCTCCCCGCTCCCCCGACCCCACAACAGGCCCTATGGTGTGATGTTCCCTGCCCTGTGTCCAAATGTTCTCATTTGGAAAAATTTTAACAACTGAGATTAAAAATCCAAACTTGCCATTTCCACCAGATTACGTTTTCATGGTCTGTGATGTGCCAAGTATAAAGAATAGGAGTAACATAAATGCAGGCCCCAACCAAGCAGAGTCTCTCAAACTTGAATAGAGCATGGAACCTACTTAGTAGAGGGAGCGAGGGAGACAGAGTTCCCAGACTCTGAGCCTACGCCCTCTCATCCAAAAGTTTAGAGAGCACAGCTTGCGAGATTCATGGTCAAAATAGGCCTGATCATTTTTGGTGCTAGAATAAGATAAATTGTGTCTTTCAGTTAACATTTTTCTATTTGCAACATTCTTACTTCATCCTCAGCCAGTGTAAAAATCAAAGTTTTATTGTAGATTAAAGAAAATAAATGAAAACATGGACAAAAAAGATAAATGAATTAGTATGAGTTGTGGTTAAGGGCATAGACTCTGGAGTCAGAATGTCTGTGTTCAAATCCTGACTCTACTGTGTCCTGTGAAACTTTGGGTTGGTCACTCAACCTGTCTGTGCCTCAGTGTTGTAAACGTCCAGTGGGTTTACCTTGGCCACTGCCTAGACAGAGCCAATTAATCAAGATGGGAATTGCAATAGAGAAAGAGTGAATTCACACAGAGTCAGCTGTACAGGAGACTGGAGATTCATTATTTCTCAAATCCATCTCCCAGAGCTTTCAGAGTTTTTAAGGATAATTTGGTGCATGGAGGAAGGCCAGTGAGTCCAGAGTGCTGATTGGTTAGGTCAGAGACAAAATCATAGGGAATTGAAGCTGTCCTCTTTCACTGAGTCCGTTCCTGGGTGGGGGCCACAAGATCAGATGAGCCAGTTTATCGATCTGAGTGTTTCAATAAACTGGGTGCCAGCTGATCCATCAAGTGCCGGGTCTGCAAAATACCTCAAGCACTGATCTTAGGAGCAGTTTAGGGAGGATTAGAATCTTGTAGCCTCTAGCTGCATGACTCCTAAACCACAATTTCTAATTTTGTAGCTAATTTGTTAGTCTTACAAAGGCAGTCTAGTCCCCAGGCAAGAAGGAGGTTTGTTTTGAGAAAGGGGTGTTAACATCTTCGTTTTACACTATAAAGTAAGTTCCTCCCAAAGTTAGTTCACCCTACACCCAGGAATGAACAAGGACAGCTTGGAGGTTAAAAGCAGATGCAGTTGGTTAGGTCAGATCTCTTTCTCAGTTATAAGTTTGCAATAGCTGTTTCATTGTCTTCATCTATAAAAACAGGACTAATAAGAATTATACCTCCGTTCGTCAACACCAACATCTTTGCCAGGACCAAGATAGACCCCAGCGCCTTGGTGCAAAAGCTGGAGCTGGACGTAAGGAGCGTCACTTCCATCAGGAGAGGTGCAGAGGCCAAGACCGTTTTGCCCAAGGAGAAAATGAAGCTGAGGCGTGAGCAATGGTTGCAGAAAATCGAAGCCATAAAACTGGCTGAGCAGAAGCACAGGGAGGAGCGGAGGTAGGGGGCCAGGATGGTGGTGGGGGACCTGCACCCGCTCAGGGATGCCCTGCCTGAGCTACTGGGGCTTGAGGCTGGCAGCCGGCGCCAGGCCTGCAGCAGGGAGAGCAACAAGCCCTGGCCCTCAGAGCTCAGCCGGATGAGTGCAGCCCAGAGACAGCAGTTTCTCGAGGAAGAAAGGACCCGGTTTCAGGAGCTGCTGGCCAGTCCGGCCTACAGAGCCAGCCCCCTGTTAGCCATTGGGCAGACGCTGGCCCGGCAGATGCAGCTGGAAGATGGTGGCCAGCTCTGACCAGGGCAGCGGGCATGCCACAACTCCTCGGGACACATGTGTGGGCCAAGTAGACAGCACCAGCCCCTCAAGGACCATGGCCTGAGCCTGGTGGACGCCCTTCCCTCTGGTCGGTTGTGGGGCTCAATAAATGGCTCTGTGAACTTCCCCTGCACCCCCAGGGCCATTCCCATGAGCTGCTCCCTGATTCACAGGGCTGGGCCCACCCTGGGACAGCTGCCCCCGCTCTCCTCAGGACAACAAGCCACATCCCTCCACTGGGGGCCCCAGCCCCCACGCAGTCAGGGTGTACCGTGCACAGGGTTCGTAGGGACTGCAGTTGTGGAGGCCCCAAGTCCGTCCCTGAGCAGGCACTGGTGCCGCCAAGATAGTCTCCTGGCTGTGTTGGAAAGGAATTGTGCCTGGGTGTGGCCCCAGCTGTGCCACCAGCCGCCCTGATTTGCTTCAGCCTCGGTTCCTGCTGCGACCCTGGTGGGATCCAGAAGCACTGAGGCCTGCAGGGGCTGGCGTGGGGACTGGCTTGGGGCCCTCCCCACCTGGGTGTCTGTTTCCCTTCCAGTCTCCCCTGCCACCCTCAGTGACCAGGGACACAGATGGCCCTGGCAAGGCCCCCGGCCTGCTCCTTGCCTGTTGTCTGCACCCCCCTGGGCTGCATCCCCCCTATCCCACCCATTGCCCTCGCCCTACCCAGCTGCTCCAAACCCAGGCAGCCCACTGCCTTGCTCTGGGGACGGAGAGCAGAGGGTCCTTCTGCAGGGAGGAGACGTGGAGTGGGCCCAGCCCTGAAGTTCTTGCTGACCCAGAAGTGAGAGAGGTCCTCCTTTGTTGCTAGAAGCCCTGGGATTTGGGGGTTGGTTTTTGGACTGTGAATCAGTGACTGATCAGTTCTTGTTTTCAAGTTGTGGAAACCAAGGGGGTGGTGCGTCCCCAGGCCCCTGACGCCCAGCTTGGCTCCCCCTGCCCGAGCTCCCCCCGTCCCAGTGCTCTGTGGGGCCTCGCTGGCCCATGTCCTGCAGCAGAGCTGGGCAGGCTGGGTGTGGTGGTGCACCCTGCTGGGGGTGTCTGGGAAGTGCAGAGCAGGACCACTCTCAGCTCCCAGGTGGGGGCCCAGCACCCTGAGCCTTCCCAGGCTGCCTGGGGTGGGGGTGGTCCCAGGGACTCCAGGGCCTCCTGGCTCCAGGGCATGTGGGTGGCCCCTGTGCACAGCCCCTCTTGTTGTGAGCCCCCATGGTCCGACCTCCCCTGGCCCTGCTGCCTGCTCAGGGTTCATAGCCCCAGCAGCCCTGCCAAGGCTGCCTGGAGAGTGGGTGGCCGAGGCGAGTTGGAGCCTGCGTCCCTTCTTTTCAGTGTCCTGGCCCTTCCCTGACACGAGCAGACACGGCATCCACAGAGACAGCCTGGACACCCTCCAAGGCCCCAGCCGATGGGACAGACAGGCGTACAGGAGCCACAGGCAGCAGATCCCATGCTCTCTCAGCCGGGGCCGGCTTGGCTGCCCAGCCCCAGCTCCTTAGAGAACGGGCTTCTGGCTTCAGAGGAGCTGGTCACAAACCAATGCTTGCGACAAAACCATTTTTGTGGTAGAGCGAGTGTTGGGAACAACGTCTGTGGGATGCACGCAGGGAAGTGTGGTGGGGGTGCGGATGGGGGCGGCTTCCACTTTCTCCAGCATCCTAATCCCACGGTCTGGGTTTCTTGTGAAAAACCTGGCCAGGCGCAGTGGCGCACACCTGTAATCCCAGCACTTTGGGAGGCCAAGGCAGGCATATCACTTGAGGCCAGGAGTTCAAGACCAGCCAACATAGTGAGACCCCATCTTGACAAAAAAATACAAAAATTAGCCAGGCGTGGTGGTGCGTGCCTGTACTCCTAGCTACTGGGGAGGCTGAGATGGGAGGATTGCTTGAGCGTAGGAGGCCATGGCTATAGTGAGCCAAGACTGTGCCACAGCACTCCAGCCTGGGTGACAGAGTGATCCTGTCTCTAAAAAATAAAAATTTAAAAACGCAAAAAAAAAAAAAAGAATTATACCTCATAGATTTCTATGAGAATGAAATGAGCTAAGAGTCATAAAATGTTTGAAAAACTAGCTGGCTTAAATAAGTATTCTTATTTTTTAAATATCTGTTAATGAAGTATTAGTTAGCTTTTTTTTTTTTTTTTTTTTTTGGTAATAAGCTTGGGTATTGACCCTAAGGAATGTTTTGCACTTAAGGTAGAGTTTGCCTATAAAAATCCAGCCTGTACATTTTGAGAAAAGGGATATCAGACACTTGATTAGCTCTATGTGGTCTTTGTATCAGAAATTAAACACCAGCTGTTGTAAGAGATAAAGCCTGACATCTCAGTGGCTTAACAAAAAGAGATGTTTATTTTTCATAATGTAAAATTCAATCTGCAACAAGGATTAGGGTGAGAGTGGGATCTATGGTTGTATTAGTCTGCTTAGGCTGCCATAACAAAATACCATAGACTGTTTGGCTTAAAAAACAAAGCATTTTTAAATCACAGTTCTGGAGGCTAGAAATTCAAGATTAAGATGCTGTCAGGGTTGATGTCTAGTGAGGGCTCTTTTCCTCGCTATCGGGGGAACCAGCACCCAATATTTCAACATAGGTTCTTTCTATTTTCCCTAAGTGTCGGCTGGTCTGAGAAATAAAGAGAAAGAATACAAAGAGAGAAATTTTACAGCTGGGCCCCTGGGGGTGTCATCACATATTGGTAGGACTGTGATGGCAACCATGAGCCACAAAACCAGCAAGTTTTTATTAGAGATTTTAAAAGGGGAGGGGGTGTACAAACAGAGAGTAGGTCACAGGGATCACATGCTTCAAAGGGCAATACATATCACAAGGTGAAGGCAAAATTAGAATTACTGATGAAGGTCTATGTCCCACTGTGCATGCATTGTCTTGATAAACATCTTAGCAGGAAACAGGGTTCGAGAGCAGACAATCGGTCTGACTAGAATTTACCAGGCTGGAATTTTTGAATCCTAGTAAGCCCAAGGGTACTGCAGGAGACCAGGGTGTATTTCAGTCCTTACTTCAACCACATAAGACAGACACTCCCAGAGCAGCCGTCTACAGACCTACCCCCAGGAATGCATTCCTTCCCCAGGGTTATCAATTATTAATATTCCTTTTGAAAAAGAATTCAGCGATATTTCTCCTACTCACACATCTGTCTATAGGATCTCTGCAAGAAGAAAAATATGGCTGTATTCTGCCCGACCCTGCAGGCAGTCAGATCTTATGGTTGTCTTCCCTTGTTCCCTGAAAATCTGTTACTCTGTTCTTTTTCAGTATAAGCAGAGATATCATGCACAAATCGGGTGATGAAATCCACTGATTTGGTATTGTTCAAACACGCATATTTTACAATCAGTTTATATAATAGTGGTCCTGAGGTGATGTACATTCTCAGCTTACAAAGATAACAGGATTAAGAGATTAAAGACAGGCATAAGAAACTATAAGAGTATTGATTGGGGAAGTGATAAAAGTCCATGAAATCTTCACAATTTATGTTCAGAGATTGCAGTAAAGACAGGTGTAAGAAATTATAAAAGTATTAATTTGGGGAACTGATAAATGTCCATGAAATCTTCACAATTTATGTTCTTCTGCCTTGGCTGCAGCTGGTCCCTCCATTCGGGGTCCCTGACTTCCCACAACATCTAGCTCATAGATGGCCTCCTTCTCACTATGCCCTCACATCTTCTTTCCTCTGTGCTCTCAATGCTGGGCAGGGGGAGAGAGAGCATGCTCTGGTCTTTCTTCTACTTATAAGGAGAAGAGGAGAGAAGGGTCTACATAGTCTTTCAGAGATTGAGGCTGAAAGAGGATCCACCATTTTCAGCATGGAGCTTCTGGGATCTCCCTGAGTGTCAATATTCAGTAGCAAGTGAAGAGAAAGAATTGTACACAGGAGGGTAAGTGGCTGAGGTCAGTAATCACTTCTGCCCACTTCCCACAGGCTGAATGCAGTTGCATGCCACCTAACTGCAAGGGAGACTGGGAAACACTGCCTACAGTGTGGAAAGAAATAAATCTTGTGAATAACTAGCTATTGAATAGTTCTATTGAATCTTCCTCACAGTCCTTGGACCTCCTAGGGGAAAAAAAGTGCACCTTTTCTTAACTCTTCCAGAGTGTTCTCTAGTTCATGCTACTTCAAGTTCTTTCCCCAAACTTTTCTCACCTATGTTTTCCTATGGGGCTATCTGACTCAGTTCATGGGCAATGTGTTCCTATAAAGAAGAAGGAGTGTAGGGCCACCTTCAGCTTATGTTTTAGCTCTAGAGGATGAGAGAAGAGCCAACGTGTGTCAGTTTGAGGATGGATGTACAGTGAGTAGTGAGGGGCTTTTTCCACCTTGAATGCATGAGAGCTCTTGAGCCCCTCCCACTGCATTTTCAGAGTCACCAGATCTGTGCATGATATCTCTGCTTATACAAGAAAAGAGTCCCTGTGATTGCTCCGTATTTTCTGTCATGGTAAGAATGAAGAGCAAGAGAGCTAGGATAAGGCCCTAGAAAAAGGCAATGGCAAAGCTCAGATAAATGCCTTTCACCCCTACCACTATCTCTCCAGAAAACCCCATGTAAACCTTGAGCACACTGCAAAGTCATTGGACAGGTTTCTCTCCAGCAAGAAAGCCCCATGCCCCCTGCCAGTTCACTGGGGCCTCTCAGGCACCATTCTCAACATGAGCTATTGGTTGGGTCTGGTATGTAGGGGAGCTGCCAGTGCCACTGAAGTCACGTGATAATTGTGGTCTCCTGGCCAGGAAGCAGCTGATCTAGCTTGGGGACAGGGCAGGCAGGATGTGCCATTGATTCCCTTGTGAGAAATTCCTAAGAATCTACTCTCCATCTGCAATTAATTCTCCCAGGAGAATTAAGAGATTTTTTTTTTCTCTTTTCTAAAGGGAACAAATAAAGGCCCAATTATTTTTCCAGCAGTCTGAGTTTAGAGTCTACAAATTCTAATTTTTTGTTTCCTGGAAACAGTAAAATTCCATTGCCATTTGTTTTCTTCTTTAAAATCCCCTTTACTGCACTTTCAAAGTAAGCTTTCCTCATAGCCCTGAAGAGCCTTTGTCTTTAGGTTGTCAGTAAAAACAAGTTGCCCCTTTTGACTCAGTTGGTTGAGATATAGTGTACTGAAATGCACCCAGCAGGCCATTGCCAAAGTTGTGGTTTTTCAATTTATGTTTGAGACAAAAGAGTCCAAGGAGAATTCCACTTGTGTAGGTTGCATAAGAGATGACAAACAAAGCTGAACTGGATAAGAGTATAAAGAAAGTAAGAGAAGCAAAATGTGTGATAGAGGCCACAGATGCTGCCATATAGACAGCGAGATGGTGACAAGGTGAAAAGGGGCTGCAAATTTATTAACTGGCTCAGTCCTTACTGAGAGCTCTGCACCATATCTCCTCCACACAGGTGCAGATTTTGCTTTTAGTTTTACAAAGATTAGAGCAAGAAAGAAGCTGCTTTTAAAACAAGAAAAAAAACCACTTTCAGTGCACCATCTCGTATAATATTATATCCTATTGTACCCTGCCATGGTTTAGGCATCACTGTATTCTCTCATTGTGTAATATATATATTAAGAGCTAAATAAATGTCTGTTTCATTGAAGGTAAGAGCTAAATAAATGTCTGTTTCATTGAATAGTTCAGCTCTGCTTTCACCTCTTCTAATTAAACCAACACCACATGCCACTTGCTACCTCCTGAACAATTACTACTTTTGTGTTTCTTCATTTATCCAACAAACAGCTCCAAAGATGGAACATTCAACTCTAACATAAACCCTGCTGCTTCCAGGGGCTCTGCGCCCATCCCCTTGTTATGCTACACTGACATTTAGACCTACTAGAAGGTAACTGTTTTTCATTTATGTGTCCTTACAAGTCCCAATAAGAGTCCCTGAAGAAAAAAGGTACATTGCATACCCAACATCAATTACATTTATCTTCCCTCATATGCAAAGCATCGTATGTTTCCACATTCAAGAAGCAAACTCATGAGTCATCATGGGAACACCATGACTTTTAGATTCAGACTGATCTATATTCATATGTGGAACTGATTCCACATTACATGTCTAGCTGTAAAACTGGGAGTAATGTATGTATATGACCTTTGTAGATC